>NC_000012.12:34261321-34414016 GCF_000001405.40 Homo sapiens
GTTAGAACATTCTTTTTCTTCTCATTTCTGTGATGATATAAAAGTCATTGTGTGTTTCAGGTCTCCCCAGCCCTGAAATATGCACAATGGGGATTATGCTAGCATTGACTTCCAAAAAAATTCTTTGAGTATATATGAGATAGAGTGAATAAAATTCAGTTAGGTGCAGTGGCTCATGCCTGTAATCCCAGCACATTAGGAGGCCAAGGTGGGTGGATTCACTTAAGGTCAGGAGTTCGAGACCAGCCATGGCCAACATGGCAAAAACTCAGGTGGCTGGGGGTGGTGAGTTGCTTGAACTTAGGAGGTGGAGGTTGCAGTGAGCTGAGATTGTGTCATGGCACTCCAGCCTAGGTGACAGAATGAGACCCTGTCTCAAAATAATAATAATGAAAATAATTAAAAGATTAGCTAGGCATGGTGGTGCATGCCAGTAGTCCCAGCTACTCGGGAGGCTGAGATAAGGAGATCACTTGAGGCCTGAATGGTTGAAGCTGCAGTCAGCCGTGACCCACTGTAACCTGGGCAATCCTGTGAGAAAGAAAGAAAAGAAAGAAAGAAAAAAGGAAGAAAGAAAGAGAGAGAAAAAAGAAAAGAAAGGAAAAGAAGAGAAAAGAAAAGAAGAGAACCAAAGGCGAGCAGATCACGAGGTCAGGAGATCAAGACCATCCTGGCCAACATGGTGAAACTCTGTCTTTACTAAAAATACAAAAATTAGCCAGGAGTGGTGGCTCATGCCTGTAATCCCAGCACTTTGGGAGGCTGAGGTGGGCAGATCACGAGGTCAGGAGTTCGAGACCAGCCTGGCCAACATAGTGAAACCCCGTCTCTACTAAAAATACAAAAATTACCCAGGTGTGGTGGCATGCGCCTGTAGTCCAAGCTAATAGAGAAGCTGAAGACGGAGAATCGCTTGAACCTGGGAGGTGGAGGTTGCGGTGAGCTGAGACTGTGCCATTTGCACTCCACCCTGGGTGACAGAGTGAGACTCTTAAAATAAATAAATAAATAAATAAATAAATAAATAAATAAATAAAAATACAAAAATTAGCTGGGCGTGGTGGCGAGTGCCTGTAATTTCATCTACTCGGGGGGCTGAGGCAGGAGAATCGCTTGAACCAGGCAGCCAAAGATTGCAGTGAGCTGGGATCCCGCCACAGCACTCCAGCCTGGCGACAGAGCTAAAAAGGAAAAGAAAAGAAAAGAAACTGCAATTCAAGCTTGGCCACCACCCATGTGCATCTCACACTGGATGTACCCATTTACCAACTCTGATATATATATTTTCCATCATTCTTTTTTCTTTTTTGAGACGCAGTCTCCCTCTGTCACCCAGGCTGGAGTGCAGTGGCCTGAACTCGGCTAAATGCAACCTCTGCCTCCCAGATTCAAGCAAATCTCCTGCCTCAGACACCCGAGCAGCTGGGACTATAGGAGTGCACCAACAAGCCTAGCTACTTTTTGTATTTTTGGAAGAGACAAGATTTCGCCATATTGCTCAGGGCAGTCTCGAACTCCTGACCTTGAGATCCACCTGCCTCAGCCTCTGAAAGTGCTAGGACTACAGGCGTGAGCCACCGTGCCCGGCCTCATCTTTCTTTTTTTGAGACGGGGTCTCACTCTGTCACCCAGGCTAGAGTGCCGTGGCTCCATTTAGGCTCGCTGCTACCTCCGCCTCCCAGACTCAAGTGATTCTCATGCCTCAGCTTCCATAAGTGTCCTTCACAGGTGCGTGCCACCACGCGTGGCTGATATTTGTTTGCATTTTTAGTAGAGACGAAGGGGGTTTTGCCATGTTGTCCAGGCTGGTCCACTCCTCCTTTTTTTTTTTTTTTTTTTTTTAAATAACAAATTCATTTTTTTTGGAGACGGAGTCTTGTTCTTTCGTCCAGGCTAGAGGGCAGTGTCATGATCTTGGCACACTGCAACCTCCACCTTCCTGGTTCAAGTGAGTCTCCTGCCTCAGCCTCTCCAGTAGCAGGGATTACAGGCTCCCACCTCTGTGCCTGGCTAATTTTTGTATTTTTAGTAGAGACTTGGTTTCACCATCTTGGCCAGGCTGGTCTTGAACTCTTGGCCTCAGGATCCACCGGCTTCAGCCTCCCAAAGTTCTGGGATTACAGGCGTGAGCCACCTCCCCCCGCCCCAGCCCCACTCATCTTTAACATGACAATTCTGTACGGTAATTTAAGAAAACAGGATGCGTTTACTGAATCTTACACACGTTCCTTCCTTGTTGGGTTTGTGTACTTTTAGTCACCAGTGAAGGAGATACACCTCCCCCCACCTTTTTCTTTCTTTTTTAATCCTCCGGCCTTGGCCTCCCAACGTGCTAGGATTACTGGGGTGAGCCACCATGCCCACCTGGCCTAAAGAGACATCCGTTGAAAGTAAGAAAAAGAGAGTTCTTTTCAGTGATTTGATTGATTGATTGATTGATTGATTGATTTAGAGACAGCATCTCACTCTGTCATCCTGGCTGGAGTGCAGCGATGCCATCATAGATCACTCACTGCAGCCTGGATACACCTTAGCTCAAGCGATCATTCCTCCTCAGCCTCCAGAGTAGAGTACCTGGGACCACAGGCACGTGCCACTGTGCCCAGATCATTTTTAAATTTTTTCTACAGACAGAGTCTCATCACTTCGTTCACACACCCAGGCCCCCAGTGGTCCTCTTTTCTCTCTGGGGGAATGGAAGTTCCAGACGATCCCACGGGCAGAAACGTAGGCTGTGTCCCCTGGGGGCTCTTGTCAACTAGTCGGGGGCATCACCTGAGAGGACTTCCTGGGCCCAGAAATGGCCCAGGTCTGAGAGGGATCCGGAAGAGGCCCCAACGCGGTGGGCCTCCGCCACCCCCCGTCCCCAAACTCCACCCCAACCCAGAGTGACGCAGGTCGTTTGCTTCTTTTCCTTGCTGACTGACACTTGCAAGCATCGGTTGTCTTCGGGCATCATCTGGCGGCCACTGTTATTGAAAGTCAAGGTGGCACGGAGGGAGGTCTGGCCGACTTCACCTAGCCTGGGGCAACTGGTTTCTCTCCTTCCCTTCTGGAGGTCCCTCCCTCTTTCCCTCGTTGCCTAGGGAACCTCTGCCCTGGCGGGGGGGCCCCCATTGTTTTTTTTTTTTTTATCAGCACTTTATTTTTCTTTTCTTCCTGTGTTAGTTTCTTTAATGCAAATAGGCTCTTCCACTTTGGCTTTATGAGGGGTCACTTTAATTTTTAAGTCATCCCTCGGCCCCCCATGCTCCTTTACCTTAATTTAGTGTTAGATGGGTTTCCCCCAACCACCCTGCCTCCCGGCACCCTGCTTGGAAAGTTCCGGAGCCACCCGGGTGTGCCTCCATCTTCTCTCCCCTTCACCCACCCCTCACCAGTGATCTCAGTCTCTCCAGGCTGACAATTGCATTGGTGGTCGTTAGGCCTCACTCATTGGCCACCGTTTTTGAAGTTGGAGGTGGCATGGTCCCACTTCCCCAGAGGCAGCTTGGGCCGATGGCCTAGACCTTGACCTGCCTAGGCAAGCGGGCAGGCTGGCCGGACTGCAGTTTGGGTCTTTTCCCCTTTCGCTCCTCAGGCCTCCCTCCCTAGGAAAGCATCATCCTGGCTGGGTCTCAATCACCTTTTATCAAGTTGTTTTATTTTCTTCTCCCACAGGCCAGGATATTTTCAAAATGGAAAGGGCGTCACAGCTCTACCCTGGGCCTTATTAGTATTTGCCCAAAATAGAAACGCTTTCTAAAAAGCGTTTTGCTCATTTAAGATTTTCAGAGACGATGCTTTGGCCCGTGTTTATTTGCTTGTTTTATTTTGCTTTGTTTGTGTCTTTCTTTTTTCTTATTTATGTATTTTCAGGAGAAGTAAAAATCACCAATTTTTAGGAAGACATATATTTTCCCCAGGACATGTTAGCTGCTGTTTTCTTCTGTTGTTAACTAGTGCTTTTGTGAATCCCTGAAAGTTTAGTGAGAACCGGTTGATTTACACCATAGCTGATAACATCTTATTTTCTAGAAATCCGTGAGTGCTGCTGCTGCCACTGTTGTTTTTGATGTTGTTGTTTTCAAAGCATACTCTGGCCACCATTTATGGCATCAAAGCATTATAAAATATGTGTAATTATTTTTTGAGTATCCCCTTCCTCTTCCTCTTCCTCTCTCTGTCTCTGTCTCTCTCTCTGTGTCTCTATCTCTCTCTGTCTCTCTCACTCTGTTTCTTTCTGTCAGGCCTCTGAGCCCATGCCAAGCCATCACATCCCCTGTGACTTGCATGTATATGCCCAGATGGCCTGAAGTAACTGAAGAATCACAAAAGTGAATATGCCCTGCCCCGCCTTAACTGATGACATTCCACCACAAAAGAAATGCAAATGGCTAGTCCTTGCCTTAACTGATGATATTCCACCACAAAAGAAGTGAAAATGGCCCGTCCTTGCTTTAAGTGATGACATTACCTTGTGAAAGTCCTTTTCCTGGCTCATCCTGGCTCAAAAATCTCCCCCACTGAGCACCTTGTGACCCCCACTCTGCCCGCCAGAGAACAACTCCCCTTTGACTGTAATTTTCCTTTACCTACCCAAATCTTATAAAATGGCCCCACCCCTATCTCCCTTCGCTGACTCTCTTTTTGGACTCAGCCCACCTGTACCCAGGTGAAATAAACAGCCATGTTGCTCACACAAAGCCTGTTTGGTGGTCTCGTCACATGGATGCACATGAAATTTGGTGCCTTGACTCGGATTGGGGGACCTCCCTTGGGAGATCAATCCCCTGTCCTCCTGCTCTTTGCTCCGTGAAAAGGATCCACCTATGACCTCTAGTCCTCAGACCCACCAGCCCAAGGAACATCTCACCAATTTCAAATCTGGTAAGCGGCCTCTTTTTACTCTCTTCTCCAACCTCCCTCACTATCCTTTAACCTCTTTCTCCTTTCAATCTTGGCGCCACACTTCAATCTCTCCCTTCTCTTAATTTCAATTCCTTTCATTTTCTGGTAGAGACAAAGGAGACACATCTTATCCATGGACCCCAAACTCCGGCGCCAGTCACTGATTAGGGAAGCAGCCTTCCCTTGGTGTTTAATCATTGCAGGGATGCCTCTCTGATTATTCACCCAGGTTTCAGAGGTGTCAGACCACGCAGGGACATCTGCCTTGGTCCTTCACCCTTAGCGGCAAGTCCCGCTTTTCTGGGAGAGGGGCAAGTACCCCAACCCCTTCTCTCCATGTCTCTACCCCTTCTCTGCTTTTCTGGGGCAGGGGCAAGAACCCTTCAACCCCTTCTCCTTCACCCTTAGCATCAAGTCCCGCTTTTCTAGGGGGGCAAGAACCTCCAATCCCTTATTTGCATGCCCTGACCTCTTATCTCTGCACCCTAATCCCTTATTTCCGTGCCCCAACCTCTTATCTCTGCACCCCAATCCCTTATTTCTGTGCCCCAACCTCTTATCTCTGCACCCCAACCCCTTATTTCTGTGCCCCGACCTCTTTCCCGCTTTTCTGGAGGGTAAGAACCCCCGAAACCCCTCCCTCTGTGTCTCTACTCTCTCTTTTCTCTGGGCTTGCTTCCTTCACTATGGACAACTTTCCACCCTCCATTCCTCCTTCTCCCTTAGCCTGTGTTCTCAAAAACTTAAAACCTCTTCAACTCACACCTGACCTAAAACCTAAATGCCTTATTTTCTTCTGCAATGCTGCTTAACCCCAATACAAACTCGACAGTAGTTCCAAAGAGCCAGAAAATGGGACTTTCAATTTTTCCATCCTGCAAGATCTAAATAATTCTTGTCGTAAAATAGGCAAACGGTCTGAGGTGTCTGACATCCAGGCATTCGTTTACATATCACTCCCTTCCTAGTCTCTGTGCCCAATGCAACTCATCCCAAATCTTCCTTCTTTCCCTCCCACCTGCCCTCTGAGTCCCAACCCCAAGCATTGCTGAGTCTTTCTAATCTTCCTTTTCTACAGACCCATCTGACCTCTCCCCTCCTCACCAGGCTGAGCTAGGTCCCAATTCTTCCTCAGCCTCCACTCCTCCACCCTATAATCCTTTTATCACCTCCCCTCCTCACACTCAGTCTGGCTTACAGTTTCATTCCGTGACTAGCCCTCCCCCACCTGCCCAGCAATTTCCTCTTAAAAAGTTGGCTGGAGCTAAAGACATAGTCAAGGTTAATGCTCCTTTTTCTTTATCTGACCTCTCCCAAATCAGTTAGCATTTAGACTCTTTTTCATCAAATACAAAAAACCCAGCCCAGTTCATGGCTCATTCGGCAGCAACCCTGAGACGCTTTACAGCCTTAGACCCTAAAAGGTCAAAAGGCCGTCTTATCCTCAATATACATTTTATTACCCAATCTGCTCCAAACATTAAATAAAACTCCAAAAATTAAATTCTGGCCCTCAAACCCCACAACAGGATTTAATTAACCTCACCTTCAAGGTGTACAATAATAGAAAAAAGTTGCAATTCATTGCCTCCACTGTGAGACAAACCCCAGACACATCTCCAGCACACAAGAACTTCGAAATGCCTCAACCTCAGGTGCCAGGGGTTCCTCCAGAACCTTCTCCCCCAGGAGCTTGCTACAAGTGCCAGAAATCTGGCCACTGGGCCAAGGAATGCCCACAGACCAGGATTCCTCCTAAGCTGTATCCCATCTCTGTGGGACCCCACTAAAAATCAGACTGTTCAACTCACCTGGCAGCCACTTCCAGAGCCCCTGGAACTCTAGCCCAAGGCTCTCTGACTGACCCCTTCTGAGATCTTCTTGGCTTAGCAGCTGAAGACTGACACTGCCAGATCGCCTCGGAAGCCTACAGGACCATCACAGATGCTCCAGGTAACTCTCACAGTGGAGGGTAAGTCTGTCCCCTTCTTAATCAATATGGAGGCTACCCACTGCACATTACCTTCTTTTCAAGGGCCTGTTTCCTTTGCCTCCATAACTGTTGTGGGTATTGACGGCCAGGCTTCTAAACCTCTTAAAACTCCCCAACTCTAGTACCAACTTAGACAATACTCTTTTAAGCACTCCTTTTTAGTTATCCCCACTTGCCCAGTTCCCTTATGAGGCCGAGACACTTCAACTAAATTATCTGCTTCCCTGACTATTCCTGGACTACAGCTACATCTCATTGCTGCCCTTCTTCCCAATCCAAAGCCTCCTTTGCATCTTCTTGTATCCCCCAACCTTAACCCACAAGTATAAGATACCTCTATTCCCTCCTTGGTGACCAATCATGCACCCCTTACCATCTCATTAAAACCTAATCACTCTTACCCGGCTCAATGCCAAGATCCCATCCCACAGCATGCTTTAAAAGGATTAAAACCTGTTATCACTCGCCTGCTAGAGCATGGCCTTTTAAAGCCTATAAACTCTCCTTACAATTCCCCCATTTTACCTGTCCTAGAACCAGACAAGCCTTACAGGTTCAGGATCTGTGTCTTATCAATGAAATTGTTTTCCCTATCCACCCTGTGGTGCTGAACCCATATACTCTCCTATCCTCAATACCTCCCTCTACAACCCATTATTCTGTTCTAGATCTCAAACATGCTTTCTTTACTATCCCTTTACACCCTTCAACCCAGCCTCTCTTCGTTTTCACCTGGACTGACCCTGACACCCATCAGTCCCAGCAGCTTACCTGGGCTGTAATGCTGCAAGGTTTCAGGGGCAGCCCTTATTATTTCAGCCAAGCTCTTTCTCATGATTTACTTTCTTTCCACCCCTCCACTTCTCACCTTATTCAATATATTGGTGATGTTCTTCTTTGTAGCCCCTCCTTTGAATCTTCTCAACAAGACACACTTCTGCTCCTTCAGCATTTATTCTCCAAAGGATATCCCCCTCCAAAGCTCAAATTTCTTCTCCATCCGTTACCTACCTTGGCATAATTCTTCATAAAAACACACGTGCCCTCCCTGCTGATAGTGTCTGACTGATCTCTCAAACCCCAACCCCTTCTACAAAACAACAACTCTTTTCCATCCTAGGCATGGTTGGATACTTTCGTGTTAGGATACCTGGTTTTGCCATCCTAACAAAACCATTATATAAACTCACAAAAGGAAACCTAGTTGACCCCATAGATCCTAAATCGTTTCCCCACTCCTCTTTCCATTCCTTGAAGACAGCTTTAGAGACTGTCTCCACTCTAGCTCTCCCTGACTCATCCCAACACTTTTCATTACACACAGCTGAAGTGCAGGGCTGTGCAGTCAGAATTCTTACACAAGGACCGGGATCGCATCCTGTAGCCTTTTTGTCCAAACAACTTGACCTTACTGTTTTAGGCTGGCCATCATGTCTCCATGCAGCGTCTGCTGCCACCCTAATACTTTTAGAGGCCCTCAAAATCACAAACTATGCTCAACTTATTCTCTACAGCTCTCATAATTTCCAAAATCTATTTTCTTCCTCACACCTGACACATATACTTTCTGCTCCCCGGCTCCTTCAGATATACTCACTCCATTTATTCTCCCACAATTACCATTATTCCTGGCCTGGACTTCAATCCGGCCTCCCACATTATTCTGGATACCATACCTGACCCTCATGACTGCATCTCTCTGATCCACCTGACGTTCACCCCATTTCCCCACATTTCCTTCTGCCCTGTTTCTCACCCTGATCACACTTGGTTTATTGATGGCAGTTCCACCAGGCCTAATCGCCACTCACCAGCAAAGGCAGGATATGCTATGAACTAGTTGCCTTAATTCAAGCCCTCACTCTTGCAAAAGGACTACGTGTCAATATCTATACTGATTCTAAATATGCCTTTCATATTCTGCACCACCATGCGGTCATATGGGCTGAAAGAGGTTTCCTCACTACACAAGTGTCCTCCATCATTAATGCCTCTTTAAGAAAACTCTGCTCAAGGCTGCTTTACTTCCAAAGGAAGCTGGGGTCATTCACTGCAAGGGGCATCAAAAGACTTCAGATCCCATTGCTCTAGGCAATGCTTATGCTGATAAGGTGGCTAGACAAGCAGCTAGCTCTCCAACTTTTGTCCCTCATGGCCAGTTTTTCTCCTTCACATCCGTCACTCCCACCTACTCCACAGCTGAAACTTCCACCTATCAAGCTCTTCCCCCGCAAGGTAAATGGTTCTTAGACCAAGGAAAATATCTCCTTCCAGCCTCACAGGCCCATTCTATTCTGTCGTCATTTCATAACCTTTTCCATGTAGGTTACAAGCCACTAGCCTGTCTCTTAGGACCTCTCATTTCCTTTCCATCATGGAAATCTATCCTCAAGGAGATCACTTCTCAGTGTTCCATCTGCTATTCTGCTACCCCTCAGGGATTGTTCAGGCCTCCTCCCTTTCCTACACATAAAGCTTGGGGATTTGCCCCTGCCCAGGACTGGCAAATTGACTTTACTCACATGCCTCGGGTCAGAAAACTAAAATATCTCTTAGTCTGGGTAGACACTTTCACTGGGTGGGTAGAGGCCTTTCCCATAGAGTCTGAGAAGGCCACCGCGGTCATTTCTTCCCTTCTGTCAGACATAATTCCTTGGTTTGGCCTTCCCTTCTCTATACAGTCTGATAACGGACCAGCCTTTACTAGTTAAATCACCCAAGCAGTTTCTCAGGCTCTTGGTATTCAGTGGAACCTTCATATCCCTTAACATCCTCAATCTTCAGGAAAGGTAAAACCGACTAATGGTCTTTTAAAGACACACCTCACCAAGCTCAGCCTCCAACTTAAAAAGGATTGGACAGTACTTTTACCTCTCGCCCTTCTCAGAATTAGAACCTGTCCTCGAGATGCTACAGGGTACAGTCCATTTGAACTTTTATATGGACGCACTTTCTTGCTTGGTCCCAACCTCATCCCAGACACCAGCCCTCTAGGCGACTATCTTCCAGTCCTCCAACAGGCTAGGCAGGAAAGTCACCAGGCTGCTAATCTTCTCTTGCCTACTCCAGATCCCCAGCCATATGAAGACACTCTAGCTGGACGATCAGTTCTTGTTAAGAATCTGACCCCTCAAACTCTACAACCTCGATGGACTGGACCCTACTTAGTCATCTATAGTACCCTGACTGCCGTCCGCCTGCAGGATCCTCCCCACTGGGTTCACCATTCCAGAATAAAGCTGTGTCCATTGGACAGCCAGCCTAATCCCTCCTCTTCCTCCTGGAAGTCGCAATTACTCTCCCCTACTTCCCTTAAACTCACTCGTATTTCTGAAGAACAGTAATAACCCTTATGAGCCTAATACATCCCTTCATTCTATTAGGTCTGTTTGTCCTTGCCCTACTTTTTGCAACAGGGCTTTATGAACTCACCCCCACCACTTAGGCTGAGCCCAAAAAATCTTGTCATCCCTACTATTTTCTGTCCAGTCATACTCCTATTCTCTGCTCTCAACTACTTATAAATGCCGTACTCTTGTTTACACTGCTGGTTTACACTGTTTCTTCAAGCCATCACAGCTGATATCTCTTGGTGCTATCCCCAAACCGCCACTCTTAATTCCCTCTTAGAGTGGGTAGATGATCTTTGCTGGCAGGGCACCCTCCAATACTTCCACCCTGATGAAGTTCTATTCTTTACTTTTATACTCTCTCTTATTCTCATTCCCATTCTTATGCCACCTTTTGCCTCTCCCCAGCTATCTCCACCACACTATCAACCTTACCCATTCTCTCCTAGCTGCTTCTAATCCCTCCTTAGTGAACAACTGCTGGCTTTGCATTTCCCTTTCTTCCAGTGCCTACATAGCTGTCCCTGCCTTACAGACAGACTGGGCTACATCTCCTGTCTCCTTACACCTCTGAACTTCCTTTAACAGCCCTCACCTTTACCCTCCTAAGGAACTCATTTACTTTCTAGACAGGTCCAGCAAGACTTTCCCAGACATTTCACATCAGCAAGCTGCCGCCCTCCTCCGCACTTATTTAAAAAACCTTTCTCCTTATATTAACTCTACTCCCCCCATATTTGGACCTCTCACAACACAAACTATTATTCCTGTTGCTGCTCCTTTATGTATCTCTTGGCAAAGACCCACTGGAATTCCCCTAGGTAATATTTCACCTTCTTGATGTTCCTTTACTCTTTATCTCCAAAGCCCAACTACACACATCACTGAAACAATTGGAGCCTTCCAGCTCCATATTACAGACAAGCCCTCTGTCAATACTGACAAACTCAAAAACATTAGCAGTAATTGTTGCTTAGGAAGACACTTACCCTGTATTTCACTCCATCCTTGGCTACCTTCCCCTTGCTCATCAGACTCTCCTCCCAGGCCCTCTTCTTGTTTACTTATACCCAGCCCCCAAAATAACAGTGAAAGGTTGCTCATAGATAATCAACGTTTTCTCGTACATCATGAAAATTGAACATCCTCCTCTATGCAGTTACCCCATCAGTCCCCATTACAACCTCTGACAGCTGCCGCCCTAGCTGGATCCCTAGGAGTCTGGGTACAAGACACCCCTTTCAGCACTCCTTTTCACTTTTTTACTTTACATCTCCAGTTTTGCCTCACACAAGGTCTCTTCTTCCTCTGTGGATCCTCTACCTACATGTGTCTACCTGCTAATTGGACAGGCACATGCACACTAGTTTTCCTTACCCCCAAAATTCAATTTGCCAGTGGGACTGAAGAGCTCCCTGTTCCCCTCATGACACCGACATGACAAAAAAGGGTTATTCCACTAATTTCCTTGATGGTTGGTTTAGGACTTTCTGCCTCCACTGTTGCTCTCGGTACTGGAATAGCAGTCATTTCAACCTCTGTCACGACCTTCCGTAGCCTGTCTAATGACTTCTCTGCTAGCATCACAGATGTGCCACAAACTTTATCAGTCCTCCAGGCTAAAGTTGACTCTTTAGCTGCAGTTGTCCTCCAAAACCGCTGAGGCCTTGACTTACTCACTGCTGAAAAAGGAGGACTGTGTATATTCTTAAATGAAGACTGTTGTTTTTACCTAAAACAACCTGGCCTGGTGTATGACAACATAAAAAAACTCAAGGAAAGAGACCAAAAACTTGCCAACCAAGCAAGTAATTACGCTGAATCCCCTTGGGCACTCTCTAATTGCATGTCCTGGGTCCTCCCAATTCTTAGTCCTTTAATACCCATTTTTCTCCTTCTTTTATTCGGACCTTGTATCTTCCATTTAGTTTCTCAATTCATCCAAAACTGTATCCAGGCCATCACCAATCATTTTATACGACAAATGTTTCTTCTAACAACCCCACAATATCACCCCTTACCACAAGATCTCCCTTCAGCTTAATCTCTCCCACTCTAGGTTCCCATGCCACCCCTAATACCGCTTGAAGCAGCCCTGAGAAACATCACCCATTCTCTCTCTCCATACCACCCCCCAAAAATTTTCACTGCCCCAACACTTCAACACTATTTTATTTTTCTTATTAATATAAGAAGGCAGGAATGTCAGGCCTTTGAGCCCAAATCAAGCCATCGCATCCCCTGTGACTTGCATGTATACGCCCAGATGGCCTGAAGTAACTGAAGAATCACAAAAGAAGTGAATATGCCCTGCCCTGCCTTAAATGATGACATTCCACAACAAAAGAAGTGTAAATGGCCGGTCCTTGCCTTAACTGATGATATTCCACCACAAAAGAAGTGAAAATGGCCCGTCCTTGCCTTAAGTGATGACATCACCTTGTGAAAGTCCTTTTCCTGGCTCATTCTGGCTCAAAAACTCCCCCACTGAGCACCTTGTGACCCCCACTCTGCCCACCAGAGAACAACTCCACTTTGACTGTAATTTTCCTTTACCTACTCAAATCTTATAAAATGGCCCCACCCCTATCTCCCTTTGCTGACTCTCTTTTTGGACTCTGCCGGCCTGCACCCAGGTGAAATAAACAGGCATGTTGCTCACACAAAGCCTGTTTGGTGGTCTCTTCACACAGACGTCTATGAAACTTTCTTTGTCTATCTCTTTGTCCATCTGTCTATCTCTCTCTTTGTCTGTCTCTCTCCCTCTGTCTGTTTCTCTCTCTCTCTCTCTCTTCCTGTCTCTGTTTCTCTCAGTCTGTGTCTCACTGTCTTCTGTCATTCTCTCTCTCTTTATCCGTGTGTCTCTCTCTCTGTCTCTCTTTCTGTCTCTGTCTCTCTCTGTCAGTCTCTTTGTCTGTCCATCTGTCTCTCTGTCTCTTTATTTTTCTGTGTCTCTCTCTTTTTCTTTCTTTTTTGTGTCTTTGTCTCTCTCTGCCTGTCTCTCTCTGTATCTTTCTCTCTCTGTCTTATTCTCTCCCTCCCTGTCCTTTTTCTAAAATAGACTCAGGTAGATCTAATTTAACCTAATCTATTACCAAGGCTGAATTCTTAACTTTAGAAACCCCAGATTTGATTTCCATGCAGAATCCTGTACAGAACTGGTGTGTTATTTCTGGGCTCAGATACCTCATAGATATTGCATATTAATAAAGATCCAACCCTAAAATCTGGATTTGCTTCTCCATTGCCTCAGCTGTGACCTACACTTACTGTCTCGATAAATCGTACGTCTGTTCACCTATGATGCTAGGAGGGTTCTCTCTATCTGTAACTCCCCGTGTCCTAAATGACTCGTGACTGAGCCCTGTCCATTCTGTCTTAAATATGGATCTCCAAACACTTCTCTCCATTTCCAAAACTACCCACAGCCCCTTGAGGAACCACTGGCTCTTTGAAAAACCTCCTAGTAGTGGTTTCAGCTGTTCAGCTAGGAGGCTGAAGCCTGCTGAGAACTTTCCATCCCAGGATTCTGTGAGAACAAAAGTGCCTCTGCTGGGAACTGTGATCCTGGAGACAGTACTTGCTAGCTTCTTCTGAAGAACGCAAGGGACTCTACAAAGCTGACCACTCCCAACAAGGTCAAATGCATACCTCTGCATTGGCCTGCGGCCTCCACCGTACATCATTGTCACTGTCACCATCAGCATCCTTGTGAGCCTGCCCAAGGCACCCACTCCAGGGACACCCTTGGGAGGGTGGCCTTCCTCTGCTTAAGTCCAGCGCTATGACAACCTCCACCCCCATGGTCTCCACTGCACTGTGAAGATGTGGAGAGTAGGGCACATAGGAGAGCAGGAGCGGAGGACGTCCTGAAAGGTGATGATTTCCCTAGACTCTGAGCAACCCAACCACGTCCCCTGTCACCAGCACCCGCCGGACACCACCACTCTCTCCCCTCCTCTGTCCACAGTGCCCCCCACCAGCACACACGCTGGAGGTTACAAAACCACACTGTGTGAGTAGAGCCTGATGCTCTCTTTCTGCGAGCGTATGGAGCACATAGACTGGAGGTTTCTTTGATCTTGGCATCATCGTTCATCTGCGGCTGCATGCCAGGAAACAGATTATCGCATTTTCATTGAATGGAGCAGTGAGCCCATTTCACGACAGGTTCTGTAGAGAGCCTGATTCTCCTGCATGGGTGACATGGCTAGAAGTGAATATCGCTTCTTGAGCGGAGGGGATTCCTTAGGCCATCACGTTTGTGGGACTACTTCTTAAACCTTCCCTTAAGACCACAAAATAGTTTCCACCCCATCCCCCCAACATTTCCCCGGGTGCTGGATGTATCCTATCAAGAGATCCGAACATGACACTTTGAGTTAAACACCTTCGTTGGCTTTGTTTGTTTGTTTGTTTCTGAGACGGAGTCTCACTCTGTCCCCCAGGTTGGAGTTATAGTGGCTCCGCCTTTCAGGTTCAAGAGAATCTCCTGCCTCAGCCTCCTGAGTAGGTAGGATTACAGGCATGTACCACCACACCTGGCTAATTTTTGTATTTTTAGTAGAGATGGGGTTTCACCATGTTGGCCAGGATGGTCTCACAATCCTGACCTCGTGATCTGCCTGCCTCATCCTCACAAAGTACTGGGATGACAGGCATGAGCCACCACGCCCGGCCACCTTCATTAGTTTTAACTGGAGATTCTAGATTCAAGGCACACCTCATTCTATGCCACAGAATGACTTCTTCATCCTGCCCACTCAGGAAAGACCAGCCCCTTGTTATCCATTTCAAACCAATAGTCACCTCATGTTTGGAAAACGGATCCACTGTCAAGTTCAGTGGAGGAATGTGGCATGAAGGACGAGGGACTGTTCCTTCTAACTTGGTCTGAAGAGTGGGGCCTAGGGCTAGAACTCACTGAGGACTGATGGCCCCCTCTATGCTGGATTCCATCAACTCCACCCAGGAACACGGGCCTTGGCAGATCCTGGCCCTTCCTGGCCCTTGAGACATTATCAGAATCCCCATCCTTTGCTAGGATGCCCCGAATGACTGTGGCTTGCACCTCTACAGAAACATTTGAAATCTATCCTCTACACGTGGCCACCTAAAACCACAGGAGTACAGGACACTTGGCCACCATCCATCTCCCCACTTTCAGGAGAGAATGCTGAAAGTCTCTCCCTTGACTTGAGTTCTTCATGGGCACGTGGTCATGATGTAATGAGACCAGATGTATTAAGTCAGGCTGGGTGCAGTGGCTCACACCTGCAACTGCAACACTTAGGGAGGCTGAGGCTGTAGGAATGCTTGAGCCCAGGAGCTCGAGTCAAGTCTTGGACAACACAGCCAAAACCCGAGGTATATACCTGTGGTCCCAGCTACTCAGGAGGCCGAAGTGGGAGAATCACCTAACCATGGGGAGGTTGATGCTGCAGTCAGCCATAATGGTGTCAATGCACCATAGCCTGGTGACAGACAGGGTGAGACCCTGTCACAAACAGATGGTCAGACAGACAGACAGACAGACAGACAGACAACAGCTATATTATGTTCTTCTCAGGGTAGGAGGCGAAAATAACAGAAAACAGCATTTAAGATATTTATTTTAAATTTTAATTTATTTATTAATTTTGAGTCCAGGCCATGAAACCAGCTAATTTTTGTATTTTTGTAGAGAGGAGTTTTCACCATGTTGCCAAGGTTATTCTGGATTGCCTGGGATCAAGGTATCCACGTGCCCTCAGGCCTCCAAAGTGTGGGGATGACAGACATGAGCCACTGCCCCTGACAGCATTGTTTTATTTTGTTTGTTTTTTGTTTTTCCTTTTGCAATAGCTTGTCTTTATGAGAGTTTCACTGCAGGTGTTTGGCTGGCTTGTTTAAATTCAATCTAAATAGAAATTGAGGATGTCAGCTTCTGGCCTTATGGACTCTGAGCTGCCGAGTCCCCTGGTCTATCACAGAACCATACACGTAATGAGTAAAAAAAAAGTAACATTTACAATAAGTAATTTTGTTATACAGAAATACACAGATGCACCCAAAACACAGAAAGGATTCTTTTAAAAATTGTCTTACTTCTAGTGGGTGTGCCAGTGACTCTTTTAAGCTTGGACATTGACTGAGAGAATTTCCAGTCCGTCTCTCATCTCTGAATGGAAGTTCCAGATGATCTGATGGGTGGGGACTTAGGCTATGTTTTTCAGGGAGCCTGGTCGATTCGTTGTGGGGACCACCTGGGAGAGTACGGCTATTCACTGTGCTGTGGGGGCCTCCATCCTTCTCCTCCTCCCTCACTCTGGGTGATCTCAATTCACTCCAGGTTGACACTCTCATTGGCAGACATTGGGCATCACCTAGCGGACACTGCTACTCTGAAAATTGAGGCCTCAAGGAGCAAGGCAGCTCAGGCCACCTGCACACAGCCCAGAGCAACTGTGTCTTCTCCACTGCCACTGCCACAACCTCCAAGTTCCTCCCTCCCTTGTTGCCTAGAAAATTGCCACACTGATGACTGGGTCTGATTGTTCTTTGCTCATATATAAAAAATATAGGCCAGGGGCGGTGGTCCAGGCCTGTGATCCCAGCACTTTGGGAGGCTAATGTGAGTGGAACATGAGGTCAGGTGTTTGAGACCAGCCTGGCCAGTATGGAGAAACCCAGTTTCTACTAAAAATACAATAAATTACATGGGCATGGTGGCATGCACCTGTAATCCCAGCTACTTAGGAAGCTGAGGTAGGAGAATTGCTTGAATCTGGGCAGCGGAGGTTGCAGTGAGCCAAGATCACACCACTGCACTACAGCCTATGTGACACAGAGAGACTCCATTTCAGAAAAAAAAATCACAACTCACCAGGAAGGGAACAAAACTGGATGGAGAAGGAGTTTGATGAATTGACAGAAGTAGGCTTCAGAAGGTGGGTAATAACAAACTCCTTTGAGCTAAAAAAGCATATTCTAACCCAATGCAAGGAATCTAAGAACCATGAAAAAAGATTAGACAAATTGATAACTAGAATAACCAGTTTAGATAAGAACATAAATGACCTGATGGAGCTGGAAAATCAAAGCACAAGAATTTTGTGAAGCATACACAAGTATCAATAGCTGAATAAATCAAGTGGAAAAAAATCAGAGATTGAAAATCAACTTAATGAATAAAGCAAGAAGATAAGATTATAGCAAGAAGACTTAAAAGGAAAGAACAAAGCCACCAGGAAATATGGGACTATGTGAAAACACAAAATCTACATTTGATTGGTCACCTAAAAGTGACAGGGAGAATGGAACCAAGCTGGAAAACACTGTTCAATATATTACCCAGGAGAACTTCCCCAACCTAGGAAGACAGGCCAACCTTCAAATTCAGGAAATACAGAGAACACCACAGAGATACTCCTCGAGAAGAGCAATCCTGAGAAATATACATAATCGTCAGAGTCACCAAGGTTAAAATTAAGAAAAAAAATGTTAAAGACAGCCAGAGAGAAAAGTCGGGTCACCCACAAAGGGAAGCCCATCAGACTAATATGTGGGTATTTGGTTTTTCACTACAGGCCTCGATGGGTTCCGAAATGTCCCTTCATAGATTCTACAAAAAGAGTGTTTCCAAGCCACTGAATCAAAAGAAAGGTTTAACTCTGTGAGATGAATCCACACATAACAAAAACAAAGTGGTTTCACAGATCCTTTGTTTATATTTTTTATCATGGGAAATTCTGTTTTTCTCTATAGGCCTTAATGGGCTCTGAAATGTCCCTTTGTAGATTCTACAAAAATAATTTTTCCAACCTACTGAATCAAAGGAAAGGTTTACTTCTGTGACATGAATCCACACATCATTAGGTGGTCTCACAGATACCTTGTTTCTTGTTTTTATTGCGGGATACTGGGTTTTTCCCTATCAGCCTCAATGGGCTCCATAATGTCCCTTCGTGGATTCTACATAAATAGTGTTTCCAACCTGCTGAATCAAAAGAAAGGTTTACCTCTGTGAGATGAATGAACACACCACAAAGTGATTTCACAGATAGCTTGTTTCTAGTTACTGTCATGGAATATTCGGTTTTTCACTACAGGCCTCAATGGGTTCCAAAACGTCCGTTCGTAGATTTTAAAAAATCGGGTTTCTAAACTGCTGAATCAAAAAAAAAGTTCAACTCTGTGAAATGAATCCACATATCCCAAAGCGGCTTCATAGATAGTTTGTTACTGTTTTTTTTTTTTTTTTTTTTTAATCTCCAGATATTCGGTATTTCACAATAAGCTTTAATGGGCTCTGGAATGTCCCTTTGTATATTCTACAAAAAGAGTTTCTAACCTGCTAAATCAGAAGAAAGGTTTATCTCTGTGGATTCAATGTGTGAATCTACACATTGCAATGAGGTTTCACAGGTAGATTGTTTCTCATTATTATCGTGGGATATTCATTTTTTTTCCAATAGACTTCATGGGCTCTGAAATGTCCCTTCTTAGGCTCTACTAAAAGAGGTTTCCAACCTGCTGAATCAAAAGAAAGGTCCACCTCTGTGAGATGAATCCACACATCGCATAAAGGTTTCACAGACAGTTTGCTTCTAGATTTTTTTTTTTTTTTGAGATGGAGTTTTGCCCTTGTTGACCAGGTTGGAATGCAATGGTGCAATCTCTGCTCACCGAAAGCTCTGCCTCCTGGGTTTAAGCAATTCTCCTGCCTCAGCCTCCTGAATAGCTGGGATTAGAAACATGCACCACAATGCCCAGAGAAATTTGTATTTTTAGTAGAGATAGGGTTTCTCCATGTTGGTCAGGCTGGTCTCAAACTCCCGACCTCAGGTGATCGGCCTGCCTTATCCTTGTAAAGTGCTGGGATTACAGGTGTGAGCCACAGTGCCTGCCCTTGTTTCTAGTTTTTATTGTGGGATATTCAGTTTTTCAAAATAGGCCTCAATGGGCTTTGATATGTCCCTTCAGAGATTCTACTTAAAGAGTGTTTTCAACCTGCCAAATCAAAAAAGAGCTTTAACTCTGTGAAATAAATCCAAATATGACATAGTGGTTTCACAGATAGCTTGTTCTAGTTTGTATAGTGGGATATTCGGTTTTTCACTATAGGCCTCAATTGGCTCCGAAATGTCCCTTCACAGATTCTACAAAAAGAGTGTTTTGAACTGGCTGAATCAAAAAAAGGCTTAACTCTGTGAGATGAATCCACACATCACAAAGCGGTTTCACAGATAGCTGCTTACTAGTCCTTATTGCGGGATATTCAATTTTTCACTAAAGACTTCAATGGGCCCCAAAATGTCCCTTAGTGCTTTTTTTTTTTTTTTGAGATGGAGTCTCACTCTGTCACCCAGGTTGGAGTACAGTGGGTGATCTTGGCTCACTGCACATTCCGCCACCTGGGTTCATGCCATTCTCCTGCCTCAGCCTCCAGAGTAGCTGGAAGTACAGGGGCCTGCCACCAAGTCTGGCTATTTTTTTTTTTAATTTTTCATAAAGACGGTGTTTCACCATGTTAGCCAGGGTGGTCTCAATCTCCTGACCTCGTGAACTGCCCAACTCAGCTCCCAAAGTGCTGGAATTACAGGGGTGAACCACTGCACCCAGCCATCCCTTAGTAGATTCTAAAAAAAGAGGATTTCCAACCTGCTGAATCAAAGAAAGGTTTAACTCTGTTAGATGAGTGCACTCATTGCCAAGCGGTTTCCCAGAGAGCTTGTTTCTAGTTTTTATCATGTGATATTCTGTTTTTCACTATAGTTCTTGATGGGCTCAGAAATATCCTTTGTACATTCCACAAGAAGAGTGTTTGCAGAATCAAAAGAATTTTTTTAACTCTGTAAGGTAAATCCACACATAGCAAAGCAGTTTTACAGATATCTTGTTTCTAGTTTTTATCCTGGAATATTCAGTTTTTCACTATAGGCCTCAATGGGCTCCAAATACCCCACTGTAGATTCTAAAAAGAGAATGTTTCCAACCTATTGAATCAAAAGTAAGTTTTAACTCTGTTCAATAACTACACACATCATAAGACAATTCAATGGAAACTTTTTTCTAGTTTTTGTCACGGAATATTCGGTTTTTCACTATAGGCCTCACTGGGCCTTGTAATGTCCCTTCACTGATTCTGCAAAATGAGGGTTTCCAACCAGCTGAATTGAAAGACAGGTTTAACTCTATGAGCTGAATCCACACACCACATAGCAGTTTCACAGATAGCTTCTTTCTAGTTTTTATCGTGGGATATTCAGTTTTTCACTATAGGCCTCAGGGGACTCCAATGTATTCTTCCGCTGATCCTACAAAAAGAGTGTATCCACCCTGCTGAATCAAAAGAAAGGTTCAACTCTGTGAGCTAAATCCACACATGCAAAGCAGTTTCACAAATAGCTTCTTTATGGGTTTTATAATGGGATATTCCGTATTTCACTATAGGCCTCATAAAGCTCTGAAATGTCCATTTGTAAATTCTATACATAGAGTGGTTTCAATCTGCTGGAAAGAAAGAAATGTTTATCTCGATGAAACAAATCCGCACATCCCAAAGCGGTTTTACAGTTAGATTCTTTCTAGTTTTTTTCACAGGATATTCCATTTTTCACTATAGGCCTCAATGGGATCTGAACTGTCCCTTCATAGATTCTTCACAAAGAGGGTTTCCAACATGTTGAATCAAAGGAAAGGTTTAGCTCTTTAAGATGAATTCACACACTGCAAAGTGGTTTCTCAGATAGCTTCTTTCTAGTTTTTATCATGGGATATTCTGTATTTCGATATAGGCATCAGTGGGCTCTGAAATGTTCCTTCAGAGATTCTAGAAAAAGAGTGTTTTAAACATGCTGAATCAAAAGAAAAGTTCAACTTTTTGAATCCACACCTTGCAAAGTGGTTTAACAGATAACAACTTTCTAGTTTTCATTATGGCATATTCATTTTTTTAATATAGGCCTCAATGGGCTGCAAAATGGCTCCTCACAAACTACAAAAAGAGTGTTACTGAGCTGCTGAATCAAAAGCAAGGTTTCACTCTTGGAGATGAACTTATACATTGCAAAGCAGTTTCACAACTTCTTTCTAGTTTGTATTGTGGGGTATTCAGTTTTTCATTATAGGACTTACTGCTCCTTGAAATATCTCTTTGCAGATTCTACAGAAAGAGTGTTTACAAACTGCTGATTCAAAAGAAAGGTTTAACTCTCTGAACTGAAACCACACATTACAAAGCCATTTCACAGATAGCTTTTTTCTAGTTTTTATTGCATGATATTCAGTTTTTCACTATAAGTCTCAAGGCCTACCAAAATGTCCCTTTGCAGTTTGTACAAAAAGAGTGTTTCAAAACCGCTGAACTAAAAGTAAGGTTTAAGTCTGTGAGCAGAATACACACATCACAAAGCAGTGTCACAGATAGCTTCTTTCTAGGTTTTACGGTGGGATATTCGACATTTTACTATAGGCCTCAGTGAGGTGTGAAATGTCACTTCATGGATTCTACAAAAAAAGTGTTTCTAACCTGCTGAATCAAAAGATAGGTTTAACTTTGTCAGCTGAAGCCACACCTCACAAAGTGGATTAACAGATAGCACCTTTCCTGTTATTATGGCTGGACATTTGATATTTTACTGTAAGTCTCAGTGGAATGAAAAATGTCCCTTTGCAGATTCTACAAAAATAGTGTTTCCAACCTGCTGAATCAAAAGAAAGGTTTAATTCTGTGAGATGAATCCACAAATTACAAAGCCATTTCACATATAGCTTCTTTCTAGTTTTTGTGACGGAATATTCAGTTTTCCACTATAAGCCTCAGTGGGCTTCAAAATTTCCCTTCACAGATTCTACAAACCAAGTGTTTCCAACATGCTTAATAAAAAGTAAGTTTTAACTCTGAGCTGAATTGACTAATAGGAAAGCAGTTTGACAGAGAGCTTCTTTCTAGTTTTTATTGCTGGATATTTGGTTTTTCACTGTAAGCCTTACTGTGCTCAAAGTATCCCTTCACAGATTCTACAAAAAGAGTGTTTCCAAACTGCTGATTAAAAAGTAAAGTTTAACTCTGTGAGCTGTTTTCACATATCACAAAGCAGTTTTACAGATAGCTTCTTTCTAGTTTTTATCTAGGAATATTCAGTGTTTCAGTATAGGCCTTACTGTGCTAGGAAATATCTCTTCACAGACTCTACATAAAGAGTGTTTCCAAACTGGTTAATCAAAAGAAATGTTTAATCTGTGAGGTGAATCCACACATCACAAAGCAGTTTCAGATATACCTTATTTCCAGTTGGTATCAAGAAATATTCAGTTTTTCACTATAGGTCAAAATGACCTCCAAAATGTAGCTTCGTGGATCCTACAAAAAGAGTGTTTTCAAACTCCCAAATCAAAAGAAAAGTTTAACCCTGTGAGCTGAATGCACACATCACAAGGCAGTTTCACAGATGCTTCTTGCTAGTTTTTATCCAGGGATATTCAGATTTTCACTATGAGTCTCAATGACTTTTGAAATGTTGCTTTGCCAATTCTATAAAAAGAATGTTTCCAATCTTCTTAATCAAAAGAAAGGTTTCATTCCATGAGGTGAATTGACACATAACAAAGCAGTTTTACAGATACCTTTCTTCCAGTTTTTACTGTGGAATATTCGGGTTTTCCCTATAGGCCTCAGTGGGCTTTGTAATGCCCCTTTACAGATTTTACAAAAAGACTGTTTCCAACTTGTGGAATCAAAAGAAAGGTTCAACTCTGTGAGCTGAATGCAGCCAACACAAAGCAATTTCACAGATAGATTTTTCTAGTTTTTATCACGGGATATTCATTTTTTCACTATAGGCCTCACTACACTCCTAAATTTCCCTTTTCTGATTGTACAAAAAGAGTGTTTCCAAACTGCTTAATCAAAAGAAAAGTTTAATTGTGTGAGCTGACTGTACACATCATAAAGCAGTTTCTCAGATAGCTTTTTTCTAGTTTTTATCATGGGATATTCAGTTATTCACTAAAGGCCTCAGGGGGCTCTGAAATGTTTCTTCATAGATTCTACAAAAAGAGTGCTTTGAAACTACTGAATCAAATAAAAGGGTTAACTGTGTGAGGTGGATCCACAAATCACAAAGCAGTTTCACAGATAGCTTCTTTCTAAATTTTCTGGTGAGATATTTGATATTTTACTATAGGTCTCAGTGAGGTATGAAATGTCCCTTGGTTGATTCCACAAAAAATTGTTTCTAACCTGCTGAATCAAAGGTAGGTTTAACTTTCTCAGCTGAATTCACACCTCAAAAAGCAGATTCACAAATAGCATACTTTCTGTTTTTATGGCTTGATATTCAGTGTTTTACTCTAGGCCTCAGTGGGCTGCGAAAAGTTCTTTAGCAGATTCTACAAAAATAATGTTTCCAACCTGCCTAATCAAAAGAAAGGTTTCACTCTGTGAGCTGAATCCACACTTCACAAAGCAGTTTCTCATATAGCTTCTTTCTAGTTTTTATCAAGGGATATTCAGTTTTTCACTATAGGCCTCAATGCCCTTTGAAATGTTCTGATGGACCATCTACAAAAAGAATGTTTCCAAACTGCTGAATTAAAAGGAGGATTCAACTGTGTAAGCTGAATGTTCACATCACAAACAGTTTCACAGATAGCTTTTTTCTAGTTTTTATTTCAGGATGTTTGGTTTTTCACTGTAGGCGTCAGTGGGCTCAGAAATGTCCCTTTGCAGATTCTACAAAAAGAGTGTTTCCAAACTACTGAATCAAAAGTAGGGTTTAGCTCTGCGAAATGCATGCACAAGTCACTGAACAGGTTCACAAATAGCTTCTTTCTTTTTTTTATTTTGGGATATTCAGTTTTTCACTACAGGCCTCAGTGGGCTCTAAATTGTCCCTTTGGAGATTCTG
Organism: Homo sapiens; assembly: GCF_000001405.40. Taxonomy (NCBI): domain Eukaryota; kingdom Metazoa; phylum Chordata; class Mammalia; order Primates; family Hominidae; genus Homo; species Homo sapiens. Next base: position 34,285,447 of record NC_000012.12, read on the forward strand.
CAAAAAGAGTGTTTTTGAACTACTGAATCAAAAGAAAGGATTAACTCTGTGAGCTGAATGCAGACATCACAAAGCAATTTCAGAGATAGCTTTTTTCTAGTTTTTATCATAGGATATTTCTAAACTGCTCAATCAAAAGAAACGTTTCACTCTGTGAGCTGAATCCACATATCACAAAGCAGTTTCACGGATAGCTTCTTTCTAGTTTTTATCGTGGGATATTCAGTTTTTTACTATATGCCTCAGTGCCCTCCAAAATTTCCACTCGCACATTCTACAAAAAGAGACTTTCCAATCTGCTGAATCAACAGTAAGGTTTAACTCTGTGAGCTGAATGTACACATCACAATGCAGTTTCACAGGTAGATTCCTACTAGTTTTTATAATAGGATATTCAGTTTTTCACTGTAGGTCTCAGTGGACTCTGAAGTGTCCCCTGGCTGATTCTACAAAAAGGCTGTTACCAAACTGTTTAATCAAAAGAAACTTTAACCCTGAAAGCAGAATCCACACATCACAAAGCAGTTTCACAGATAGATTCTTTCTCGTTTTCATTTTGGGATATTTGTTTTTTCACTGTAGGCCTCAGTAGGCACCAAAATGTTTCTTTGCAGATACTACAAGAGGAGTATCTTCAAACTGTTGAATCAAATGTTACATTGAACACTGAAATGAAGGCATATATCACCAGGGTGTGTGTCTCACCCATGCAGGGCTCCCCAAAGTGGCAAGAAGGCCCATAGGGGAAGATAAGGCTTGAAAGGGGAGGTAGAGACACCTGTGGAAGGAAAAAAAATGGCTTGGAAGAGAAGGGGGGCCTGGGTCCTCCATGGAGGAAAGTGGCTTCCCAGCAGCCCCTGCCCTGGTCCCAGAGTATACTGGTGTCTCTGGTTCACACCCACACTATGTGTCTCACCCACGGAAGGCATCCCAAAGCTGCAAGAAGGCCCATAAGGAAAGATAAGTCTTGAAAGGGAGGTAGAGGCACCTGTGGAAGGAAAAAAAGACAGCGTGGCAGACAAGGGGGACCTGGGTCTGCCCACGGATGAAAGTGCCTTCCCAGCAGCCACTGTGTGGGGCCCCAGGGATGGTGGGATCCCTGGTTTGCACCCATGGTGCATGTCTCACCCACGGCAGGCACCCCAAAGTGGCAAGAAAGCCCAAAAGGGAAGATAATGCTTGAAATGGGAGGTAGAGGCACCTGTGGAAGGAAAAAAAATGGTGCCATAGGGAAGGGGGTCTGGGTCCTCCCACAGATGAATGTGCCTTCCCAGCAGCCACTGCACGAGGCCCAGGGGATAGTGGCATCAGTGGTTGGCACACACTGTGTGTGTCTCGCCCCTGGAGTGCACCCCAAAGCAGGAAGAAGGCCGAGAAGGGAAGATAAGGCCTGCAAGGGGAGGTAGAGGCACTTGTGGAAGGAAAAAATACAGTGTGGTAGAGAAGGGGGCCCTGGGTCCTCCCACAGACAAAAGTACCTTCCCAGCAGACCATGCCTACAGTCCGTGGGGGTCATGGAATCCCTGACTTGCCCCCGGGGTGCATGTCTCACCCATGGGGGCCACCCCAAAGTGGCAAGAAGGCCCATAAGGGAAGATAAGGCTTGAAAGGGGAGGTAGAGGGACCTGTGGAAGGAAAAAATATGGCATGGCAGAGAAGGGTGGCCTGGGACCTCCCATGGACGAAAGTGCCTTCCCAGCAGCCCTGCGTGGGGCCCAGGGGATCGTGGCATCCCTGGCTCACACCTGGGGCAGATGTTTCACCCATGGGGGGCCACCCAAAAGGGTCAGGAAAACCCATAAGGGAAGATAAGGCTTGAAAGGAGAGGGAAAGACACCTTTGGAAAGAAAAAAAAAAAAACGGCACAGGAGAGAATGGGGTCCTGGGTCCTCCCATGGAAAAAAGTGCCTTTGCAGAGCCCCTGCATGGGGTCTGTGGGGGTCGTTGCATCCCTGGCTCACCCCCAGGGCACGTGTCTCACCCACAGGGGGCACCTCAAAGCTGCAAGGAGATGCATAAGGGAAGACAAGGCTTGAAAGGGAGGTAGATGCACCTGTGGAAGGAAATAAAATGGCGCAGCAGAGAACAGGGGACAGGGTCCTCCCATGGATGAAAGTGCCTTTCCAGCAGATGCTGTATGGGGTATTCAGGGGTCGTGGCATCCCTTGCTCGCCCCTGGGGCACGTCTCACCCATGGGGGGCACCACAAAGTGGCAAGAAGGCCCATAAGGGAAGATAAGGCTGGAAAGGGGAGGGAGAGTCACCTGTAGAAGGAAAAAAATGGCATGGCAGAGAAGCGGTCCTGGGTCTTCCCACGGACGAAAATGCCTTCCCAGGAGCCCCTGCATAGGGCCCAGGGGATCGTGGCATCTCTGGTTTGCAAACACGGTGCGTGTCTCACCCGCAGGGGGCACCCCAAAGTGGCAAGAAGGCCCATAAGGGAAGATAAGGCTTGAAACAGGAGGTAGAGACACCTGTCGAAGGAAAAAAAATTGGTGCATCAGAGAAGGGGGGTCTGAGTCCTCCCACGGACGAAACTGCCTTCCCAGCAGCCACTACTTGGGGACCGCGGGGGTCATGGGGTGCGTGTCTCACCCACTGGGGCACCCCAAAGTGGCAATAGGCAAAGAAGGCCCATAAGGGAAGATACTGCTTGAAAGTGGAGGTCGAGGCACCTGTTGAAGGAAAAAAACAATGTGGCCGGGAAAGGGGGCCTGGGTCCTCCCACGGATGGAAGTGTCTACCCAGCTGACCCTGAGTGGGGTCCGCGGGGGTCATGGCGTCCCTGACTCGCCCAGGGGTGCGTGTCTCACCAAAAGGGGGTCCCCAAAGCAGCAAAAAGACCCATAAGAGAAGATAAGGCTTGAAAGGGGAGGTTGAGGCACCTGTGGAAGAAAAAGAAATGGCGCGACCGAGAAGGAGGTCCTGGGTCCTCCCATGGATGAAAATTCCTTCCCAACAGGCCCAGCGTGTCAGCTGTGGGGGTCGTGGCATCAATGGCTTGCCCCCGGGATGCATGTCTCACCCTCAGGGGGCACCCCAAAGCGGCAAGAAGGCCCTTAATTTAAGATAAGACTTGAAAGGGGAGGTCGAGGCACCTGTGGAAGGAAAAGAAATGGCATGGCCGAGAAAGTGGGCCTGAGTCCTCCCACGGAAGAAAGTACCTTCCCATTAGCCCCTGTGTGGGGACCTCGAGGGTTGTTCGGTGTTTGTCTCACCTATGGGGAGCACCTCAAAGAGGCAAGAAGGCCCGTAAGGGAAGATAAGCCTTGATAGGGGAGGTCGAGGCACCTGTGGAAGGAGAAAACACAGCACGGCCGAGAAAGGGGGCTGGGTTCCTCCCACGGATGAAAATTCCTTCCCAGCAGCCCTTGCGTGGGATCCCTGGGGTTCGTGTCTCACCCACAGGGGGCATCCCAAAGTGGCAAGATGGCCCATAAGGGACGATAAGGATTGAAAGGGGAGGTTGAGGCACCTGTGGAAGGAAAAAAAATGGCGTGGTCAAGAAAGGGGTCCTGAGTCCTCCCACGGAAGAAAGTTAATTCCCAAGAGCCCTTGTGTGGGGTTCGGAGATGTCATGGCATCCCTGGCTCACCCCAGGGGGGGAGTGTCTAGCCACAGGGGGTACCCCAAAGCGGCAAGAAGGCCCATAAGATAAGGCTTGAAAAGGGAGGTTGAGGCACCTGTGGAAGGAAAAAAAAATGGCACAACCGAGAAAGGGGGCCTGGGTCCTCCCACGGACGGAAGTTCCTTTCCAGAAGCCCCAGCGTGGGATCCCCAGGGGTCGTGTGGTGCGTGTTTCACCCAGGGGGGGGGCACCCCAAATCGTCGAGAAAGCGATAAGTGAACATAAGGCTTGAAAGGGGAGGTTGAGGCACCTGTGGAAGGAAAAAAAATGGCACGGCCGAGAAGGGGGTCCTGGGTCCTCCCATGGATGAAAGTGCCTTCCCAGCAGTCCACAGGTGCCTTGACCTCCCCTTTCAAGCCTTATCTTCCATTGCAGGCCTTCTTGCCACGTTGGGAAACCCCCGCGTGTGAGACACCACCCAACGACCCCTGCGGACCCCACACAGGGGCTGCTGGGATAGGACTTTTGTCCGTGAGAGTATCCAGGCCCCCCTTCTCCGCCGCGCTGTTTTTCTTCCTTCCACGGCTGCCTCCACCTCCCCTTTCAATCCTGACCTTCACTTCGGGGACTTTTGTCACTTTGGGGGTGCCCCCCATGGCCTTGTCGCGCACCGCTGGCGCGGGCCAGGGATGCCACGGTCCCCCGGGACCCATGCAGGGGCTGCTTTGAAGGCTCTTTAGTCGAGGACCCAGGCCCGCCTTTTTGGCAGCGCCATTTTTTTTTCCTTCCACAGGTGCGTCCCCTTTCAAGCCTTATCTTCCCTACGGTCCTTCTTGCCACACTGGGATGCCTCCCGTGGGTGAGACACGCACCCCACGACCGCTGCGGACCCCATGCAGGGACTGCTGGGTAGGCACTTCCGTTCGTGGAAGGACCCAGGCCCCCAGTCTCGACTGCGCCGTTTTTTTTTCCTTCCACAGGTGCCTCGACCTCCCCTTTCAAGCCTTAGCTTACAGGCTTTTTGCTGCTTTGGGGTCCCCCTGTGCGTGAGACACGCACCCCACGACCAGCGCAGACCCCACGCAGGGGGTTCTGAGAAGGCACTATCGTCCGTGGGAGGACCCAGGCCCCCCTTCACTGCCGCGCTGTTTTTCTTCCTTAGACAACTGCCTGCACCTACCCTTTCAATCCTGACTTTCACTTCAGGGCATTTTGTCACTTTGGGGTGCCCCCTGGGGGCTTTTTGTTCACCGTGGGTGTGGGTCAGGGATGCCACGATCCCCCATTCCCCTCGCAGGGGCTGCTGGGAAGGCACCTTCGTTCGTGGGAGGATCCAGGACCACTTTCTCAACCGCATCATTTTTTCTTCCTTCCACAGGTGCCTCGATCTCCCCTTTCAAGATTTATTTTCCCTTATGGGCCTTCTTGCCGCCTTGGGGTGCCCCCCATGGTTGAGACACGCACCCCACTACCCACGTGGACCCCGCGCAGGCGCTGCTGAGTAGGCACTTCCGTCCGTGGAAGGACCCAGGCCCCCTGTCTCAGCTTCGCCATTTTTTTTCCTTTAACAGTTGCCCGGACCTACCCTTTCAATCCTTATCTTCCCCTATGAGCCTTCTTGCCGCTTTGGGGTGACCCCCGTGGGTGAGACAAGCATCCTATTACCCTCTCGGACATCAGGCAGGGGCTGCTGGGATGGCATTTCCGTACGTGGAAGGACCGAGGCCCTCTTTCTTGGCCCCTCCCATTTTTTTTCTTTCCACAGGTGCCTCGACCTCCCCTTTCAAGCCTTATCTTCCCTTATGGGCCTTCTTGCCGCTTTGGGGTGCCCTCCGTCGGTGAGATACCCACCACACGAACCCCACGGACCCCAGGCAGGGGTTACTGGGAAGGAACTTCGGTCCGTGGTAGGACCAAGGCCACCCCTCTCGGCCGTGCTATTTTTTTCTTCCACAAGTGTCTCAACCTCCCCTTTCAAGCTTTATCTTCCCTAATGGGCCTTCTTGCTGGTTTTCGGTCTCCCGTTTTGGTGAGACACGGACCCTGGGGGCAAACTAAGGATGGCACGACCCCCGCGGAACCCACGCAGGGGCTGCTGGGAAGGCACTTTCCTCCGTGGGAAAACCCAGGCTCCCTTTCTCGGCCGCACCGTTTTTCTTCCTTCCACAGCTGCCTCCACCTCCCCTTTCAAACATGACCTTCACTTCGGGGCCTTTTGTCACTTTGGGGTGCCCCCCGTGGGCTTGTCACAAACCGTGGGTGTGAGCCAGGGATGACAAGATCCCTGGGACCCTGTGCAGGGGCTGCTGGAAAGGCACTTTCTTCCGTGGGAGTACCCAGGCACACTTTCTTGGCCGCGCTGATTTTTTTCCTTCCACAGCTGCCTCGACCTCCTCTTTCAAGCCTTGACTTCCCTTATGTGCCTTCTTCCCACTTTGGGGTGCCCCGCGTGGGAGAGACAAGCACCCCGGGGATGAGCCAGGGATGCCACAACCCCCGTGGACCGCACCCATGGGTTGCTGGGAAGGCATTTCCATCCAAGGGAGGACCCAGGCCCCTATTCTCGGCCGCGCCATGTTATTTCCTTCCACAGGTGCCTCAACCTCCCTTTTCAAGCCTTATCTTCCATGACGGGCTTTCTTGACACTTTGGCGTGTTCCCTGTGGGTGAGACACCCATGCCACGACACCCGCGGACCCCACGCAAGGGCTGCTGGGAAGGCACTTCCATCCGTGGAAGGACCCAGACCTCCTTTCTCCGTGGCGCCATTTTTCCCTTATGGGTTTTCTTGCCACTTTGGGGTCCCCTCCTCTTGGTGAGACATGCACCATGGTGGCAAGAAAAGGATGCCATGACCACCGCGGACCCCAGGCAGGGGATGCTGGGGAGGCACTTTCATCCATGGGAGGGTTCAGGCCCCCCTTCTTGGCCGTGCTGTTTTTCTTCCTTCCACAGCTGCCTCCACCTCCCCTTTCAATTTTGGCCTTCACTTCGGGGTCTTTTGTCGCTTTGGAGTGCCCCCGTGGGATTGTCGCGCACCGTGGGTGCACGCCAGGAATGCCATGATCCAACGACCCCTGTGCAGAGGCTGCTGGAAAGGCACTTTCTTCATTGGGAGGACACAGGCCCTGTTTCTCAGCCGCGCCAATTTTTTTCCTTCCAAAGGTGCCTCAACCTCCCCTTTCAAGGCTTATCTTCCCTTATGGGCCTTCTTGCCCTATTGGGGTGCCCCCCCATGTATGAGACATGCACCCTGTGACCCCCGTGGAACATCACGCACAGGCCGCTGTGAAGGAACTTTCGTCCGTGGGGGTACCCAGGCCCGGTTTCTCGGCTGCACCGTTTTTTTTTCCCTTCCACACATGCTTGGACCTCCCCTTTCAATCCTTATCTTCCCTTACGGGCCTACTTGCCGCTTTTGGGTGCCCCCCGTGCATGAGCCACGCACCACACGACCCCCGCATACTCTACACATGGGCTGCTGGGAAGGCACTTTCGTGCCTGGGAGGACACAGGCCCCTGGCTGTGCTGACATTTTGATTCTTTCCACAGGTATCTTGACCTCAACATTCAAGCGTTATTTTCCCTTATGGGCCTCCTTTCTGCTTTGTGGTGCCCCCGTGGGTGAGAACCATACCCCACGACTCCTGCAGACCCCACGCAGGGGTCTCTGGGAACGTATTTTTTTCCGTGGGAGGACCCAGGCTTCCTTTCATGGCCTCACTGTTTTTCTTCCTTCCACAGCTGCCTCCACCTCCCCTTCAATCCTGACCTTCACTTTGGGGCATTTTGTCGCTTTGTGGTGCCCCCATGGGCTTCTCTCACACCGTGGATGCGGGCCAGGAATGGCACGTTTGTCCGGGCCCTGCACAGGGGCTGCTGGGAGGCACTTTCATCTGTGGGAGGACCCAGGCCCGCTTTCTCAGCCACGCCATTTTTTTTCCTTCCACAGGTGCCTCGACCTCCTCTATCAAGGCTTATCTTCCCTTATGGGCCTTCTTGCCGCTTTGGGGTGCCCAGCATGGGTGAGACACGCGCCCTACGACTCCCGCAGACCCCACGCAGGGACTGCTGGGAAGGCACTTCCATCCGTGGGAGGACTCAGGTGCCCCTTCTCGGCCGTGCCATTTTTTTTCCTTCCACAGGTGCCTTGACCACCCCTTTCAAGCCTTATCTTCCCTTGTCAGTCTTCTTACTGCTTTGGGGTGCCCCGTGTCTGTGAGTCACGCACAGTACGACCCCCGTGGGCCCCACGCAGGGGCTGCTGGGAAGGCACTTTTGTCCGTTTCTCGGCCACGCCATTCTTTTTTCCTTCTACAAGTGACTCGACCTCCTCTTTCAAGTCTTATCTTCCCTTATGGGCCTTCTTGCTGCATTAGGGTGCCCCCTGTGGGTGAGACACACACCCTGAGTGTGAGCCAGGAACACCACAACCTCCGCGACCCATATGCAGTGGCTGCTGGGAAGGCACTTCCGTTCGTGGGAGGACCCAGGCCCCACTTCTTGGTCGCGACATTTTTACCTTCCACAGGTGTCTCAACCTCCCCTTTCAAGCCTTATCTTCCCTTTTGGGCCTTGTTGACGCTTTGGGGTTCCCCCGGTGGTTGAGACACGCACACTGGGGGCAAGCCAAGACACCACGACCCCTGCAGACACCACGTAGGGGCTGCTGGAAAGATACTTTCGTCTGTGGGAGGACCCGGGCAACCTTTTGCCACACAATTTTTCTTCCATCCACAGCTGCCTCCAGCTCCCCTTTCAATCCTGGCCTTCACTTCAGGGCCTTTTGTCTCTTTGGGGTGCCCCCCATATGCTTGTTGCACACCGTGGGTGTGCGCCTGATATGCCACGATCACCTAGGCCCCGCGCAGGGGCTGTTGGGAAGGCACTTTCATCCATGGGAGGACTCAGTTCCCCCAACTCAGCCGTGCCGTTTTTTTTTCCTTCCACTGGTGCCTCAACCTCCCCTTTCAAGCATTATGTTCCATTATGGGCCTTCTTTCCGCTTTGGGGTGCCCTCCGTGGTTGAGACACGTACTCATTGACACTCAGGGATCCCACACAGGGGCAGCTGGGAAGGCACTTCTCTCTGTGGGAGGACCCAGGTCCCCTTTCTCGGTCGTGTCTGTTTTTTTCCTTCCGTAGGTGCCTCAATGTCCCCTTTCAGGCCTTATCTTCCATTATGGGCCTTCTTGCAACTTTGGTGTCCCCCCTTTTGGTGAGACACGCACCCTGGGGGCGAGCTAAGGACGCCACACCCCCTCGAACCCCACGCAGGGGCTGCTGGGAAGGCACTGTCGTCCGTGGGAGTACCCAGGCCCCCCTTCTGGGCTGCACCGTTTTTCTTCCTTCCACAGCTGTCTCCACCTCTTCTTTTAATCTTGACCTTCACTTCAGGACCTTTTCTAGCTTTGGGGTGCCCACCGTGGGCTTGTTGCGCATCGTGGGTGTGGGTCAGGGACCACATGATCCCCTGGGCACTGTGCTGGGGCTGCTGGGAAGGCACTTTCGTCTGTGGGAGGACACAGGCCCCCCTTCTCAACCACTTCATTTTTTTTTCCTTCCACAGTTGCCTCGACCTCCCCTTTCAAGCCTTATCTTCCCTTGTGGGCCTTCTTGCCGCATTGCGGAGAACCCCTTGGGCTTGTTGCATACTGTGGGTGCAGGCCAGGGATGCCATGATCCCCTGGGCCCTGCGCAGGTTCTGCTGGGAAGGTACTTTTGTCTCTGGGTAGGCCCCCGCCCCCCTTCTCGGACATGCCATTTTTCTTCCTTCCACAGCTGCCTCCACCTCCCTTTTCAATCCAGACCTTCATTCTGGGGACTTTTGTCCCTTTGGGGTGCCCGCCGTGGGCTTGTCACACACCGTGGCTGCAGGCCAGGGACACCACGATCCCCCGGGCACCACGCAGGGCCTGCTGGGAAGGCACTTTCGTCCATGGGATGATCCAGGCCCCCCTTCTTGGCCGCACATATTTTTCCTTCCACACGTGCCTAACCTCCACTTTCAACCCTTATGTTCCCTTGTGGGCCTTCTTGACGCTTTGGGGTGCTGCATGTGGGTGACACACGCATCCCACGACCCCCGCGGATCCCACGCAGGGGTTACTGGGAAGAAACTTTTGTCCATTTTAGGACCCAGGACACCTTTCTTGGCCACGCCACTTTTTCTTCCTCCCACAGGTGCCACGACCTCCACTTTCAAGCCTTATCTTCCCTTAAGGGCCTTCTTGCCACTTTGGGGTGTCACCCTTGGTTGAGACACGCACCGCATGACCCATGCAGACCCCATGCAGGGTCTGCTGGGAAGGCACTTTCTTCCCTGGGAGGACCCAGTCCCGCTTTCTTGGCCGTGCCATTTTTTTTCCTTCCACAGGTGCCTCAACCTTCCCTTTCAAGCCTTATCTTCCCTTATGGCTCTTGTTACCGGCTTGAGGTGCCCCCTGTGTATGAGACATGCACCCCGTGGGTGAGACACCACTAGGATCTGTGGGGGTTGTGCGGTGCGTGTCTTACACAGGGGAGTCATCCCAAAGCGGCAAGAAGGCCCATAAGGAAAGTTAAGTCTTGAAAGGGGAGGTCAAAGCACCTGTGGAAGGAAAAAAATGGCGCAGCTGAGAAAGGGGGCTGGGTCTTCCCACGGACGGAAGTGCCTTCCCGGCAGCCCCTGTGGGTGGCCCGGGGGATCGTCATATCCCTGGCCCGCAGACACAGTGTGCCACAAGCCCACGGGGGGCACCCCAAAGCGACAAAAGTCCCCGAATTGAAGGTCAGGATTGAAAGGGGAGGTGGAGGCAGCTGTGGAAGGATGAAAAACGGCACAGACAAGATGGGGAGCCTAGGTCCTCCCGGGGACGAAACTAACTTCCCAGCAAGCCCTGCATTGGGTCCACGGGGGTCGTCTGGTGCGTGTCTCACCCACGGTAGGCACCGCAAAGCGGCAAGAAGGCCTATAATGGAAGAAAATCTTTTAAAGGTGAGGTCGAGGCACCTGTGGAAGGAAAAAAATTGGCACAGCCGAGAAAGGGGTCCTGAGTCTTTCCGAGAATGGAAGTGCCTTCCCAGCAGCCCAAGTGTGGGGTCCGCAGGGTCGTGGGGTGCGTGTCTCACCCATGGGGGTCACTGCAAAGCAGCAAGAAGGCCCATAAGGGAAGATAAGGCTTGAAAAGGGAAGGCGAGGCACCTGTGGAAGGAAAAAAGACGGAGTGGCAGAGAAAGCGGGCGTGGGTCCTCCCACGGATGATAGTGCCTTCCCAGCAGACTGTGCATGAGGGCTGGGGGATTGTGGCATCCCTGGCCTGCACCCACAGTGTGCAAAAAGCCCACGGGTGGCACCCCAAAGTGACAAAAAGCCCCGAAGTGAAGGTCAGGATTGAAAGGGGAGGTGGAGGCCGCTGTGGAAGGAAGAAAAACGGCGCGGCTGAGAAGGGGGGGCCTGGCCTGGGTCCTCCCAGGGATGAAACTGCCTTCCCAGCAGCCCTTGCACGGGATCCGCGGGGGTCATGCAGTGCGTTTCTCACCTATGGGGGCACCTCAAAGCGTCAAGAAGGCCCATAAGGGAAGCTAAGGCTTGAAAGGGGAGATTGAGGGAACTGTGGAAGGAAAGAAAATAGTGTGGCTGAGACAGCGGGCCTGGGTCCTCACACGGAGGAAAGGCCTTTCCCAGCAGCCCCTGCATGGGGTCCGCGGGGGTCGTGCTGTGCATGTGTCAACCACGGGGGGGCACCTCAAACTGTCAAGAGAGCCGGTAAGGGAAGACAAGTCTTGAAAGGTGAGGTCAAGGCACCTGTGGAAGGAAATAAAAAGGCGTGGCTGAGAAAGTGGGCCTGAGTCCTCACACGGAAGAAAGTGTCTTCACAGCAGCCCGTGCCTGGGGTCCCCAGGGGTCTTGCAGTGCGTGTCTCACCCACAGGGGGCACCCCAAAGTGGCAAGATGGCCCGTAAGGGAAGATAAGACTTGAAAGGGGAGGTCAGGGCACCTGTGCAAGGAAAAAAAAATGGCACGGCCAAGGAAGCGTGTCTGGGCCCTCCCACGGATGAAAGTGCCTTCTTAGCAACTTAAGCCTGGGGTCCCCAGGGGTCATGCAGTGCGTGTCTCACCCTCAGGTGGCATGCCAAATTGTCAAAAAGGCCTGTAGGGAAGATAAGGCTTGAAAGGGGAGGTCGAGGCACCTGTGCATGGAAAAAAAATGGTGCAGAAGAGAAAGAGGGCCTTGTACCTTCCACGGAAGAAAATGCCTTCCCAGCAGCCCCTGCCTGGCGTCCTCGGGGGCCTTGGGGTGCGTGTCTCAACCATGGGGGGCACCCCAAAGCAGCAAGAAGGCCTAAAAGGGAAGATAAGGCTTCAAAGGGGAGGTCAAGGCACCTGTGGAAGGAAAATAAAGGGCGATGCTGAGAAAGGCAGCCTGGGTCCTCCCACGGTCGAAAATGCCTTCCAAGCAGCCCCGGCACATAGCCTGGGGGATTGGGGCATCCCTGGCCTGCACCCACCGTGCATGACAAACCCACGGTGGCACTCCAATGTCATAAAATACCCCAAAGTGAAAGTTAGAATTGTAAGCGGCAGTGGAGGCAGCTGTGGAACATGGAAAAATGGCGTGACCTTGAAGGGGGGCCTGGTTCCTCCCACAGAGGAAACTGCCTACCCAGCAGCCCTGGTGTGGGGTCCACGGGGGTCGTCGGGTCCGTGTCTCACCCACTGGGGGCACCTCAAAGCGGCAAAAAGGCCCATAAGGGAAGATAAGGCTTGAAAGTGGAGGTTGAGGCACCTGTGGAAGGAAAAAAAGCAGAGCGGCAGAGAAAGGGGGCCTGGGTGCTTCTGGGGATCTAAGTGCCTTCCCAGAAGCCCCAACGTGGAGTCCGGGGGTGTCGTGGGGTGCGTGTCTCACCCACAGGGAGCACCCCAAAGTGGCAAGAATGCCCATAAGGGAAGATAAGGCTTGAAAGGGGAGGTCGAAGCATGTGTGGAAGGAAAAAAAACACGGGGCGGCTGAGAAAGTGGGTTTGGGTCCTCCCACAGATGAAAGGGTCTTCCTTGCAGCCCCTGCACTGGGCCCTGGGGATAGTGGCATCACTGGCCCACACCAATGGTGTACGACAATCCCATGAGGGGCACCCCAAAGTGACAAAAGTCACTGAAGTGAAAGTCAGGATTGAAAGGGGAGGTTATGGCTGCTGTCGAAGGAAGGAAAACTGCACGGCCAAGAAGTGGGCCTTGGTCCTTCCACGGATGGAAGTGTCTTCCCAGCAGCCTCTGTGTGGCATCCACGGGGGTCATAGGGTGCACGTCTGACCCACAGGAGGCACCCCTCAAAGGGGCAAGAATGCACAAACGGGAAGATAAGCCTTGAAAGGGGAGGTCCAGGCACCTGTGGAAGGAAAACAGTTGGCCGGCCCAAAAAGGCGGACCTTGGTCCTTACACGGATGCAGGTACCTTCCCAGCAGCTCCTACATGGGGCCCGGGGGATCTTGCATACCTGGCCTGCACCCAAGGTGCACAAAAAGCCCACGGGGGGCACCCTAAAATGACAAAAGGCCCCGAGTGAAGGTCAGGATTGAAAAGGGAGGAGAGGCAGCTGTGGAAAGAAGAAAAACAGTGCAGCAGAGACGGGGTCCTGGGTCCGCCCTTTGGAAGAAAGTGCCTTCCCAGCAGCCCCTGCGTGGGGACCGCGGGGGTCATGGGGTGCGTGTCCCACCAACGGGGGCCACCCCTAATAGCAAGAAGGCCCGTAAGATAACATAAGCCTTGAAAGGGGAGGTCAAGGCACCTGTGGAAGGAAAAAAAGAGTCACGGCCGAGAAAGGCGACCTGGGTCCTTCCACGGAAGGTAGTGCCTTTCCAGCAGCCCCGCATGGGGTTCACAGGGGTCATGGGGTGCGTGTGTCAACCACGGGGGGCACCCCAAAGCTGCAAGAAGGCCCATAAGGGAAGATAACGCTTGAAAGTGGAGGTCAAGGCAATCATGGAAGGAATAAAAACGGGGCATCTGAGAAAGCGGGCCTCGGTCCTCCCACGGATGAAAGTGCCTTACCAGCAGCCTGTGCATGGGGTCTGCGGGGATAGTGGTGTGCGTGTTTCACCCACGGAGGGCACAATAAAGCATCAAGAAGGCCCGTACGGGAAGATAAGGCTTGAAAGGGGAGGTCGAGGCACCTGCGGAAGGAAAAAAATTGGTGGGCTGAAAAGGGGGAACCTTGGTCCTCCCGCCCACTGGAGGCACCCCAAAGCGACAAAAGGCCCTGAAGTGAAGCTCCAGATCAAAAGGGGAATGGGAAGCAGCTGTGGAAGGAAGAAAATGGTGTGGCCGAGAAGGGGGGCCTGGGTCCTTCCATGGACAAAAGTGCCTTCAGAACAGTCCCTGCGTGGGATCCTCGAGGATCGTGGGGTGCGTGTCTCATCCACGAGGGGAACCCCAGCGCCACAAGAAGGCTCGTAATGGAAGATAAACTTGAAAATAGAGGTCGAGGCACCTGTGGAAGGAAGAAAAATGGCGCATCCGTGAAAGGGGGACTGGGTCCTTCTACGGACAGAAGTGTCTTCACAGCAACCCCTGCGTGAAGTCAGCGGGGATCGTGGGATGCGTGTTTCACACACGGGGGTCACCCCAAAGCATCAAGAAGGCCCATAAGGGAAGATATGGCTTGAAAGCGGAGGTCGAGGCACCTGTGGAAGGAAAAAAAATGGCACGGCCAAAAAAGGGGGTGTGGGACCTTACACGGATGGAAGTGCCATCCCAGCAGCCCCAGTGTGGTCTGCAGCATCGTGGGTTGTGTGTCTCACCCACATGGGGACACCCCAAAGCCGCAAGAAGGCCTGTAAGGGAAGATAAGGCTTGAAAGGGGAGGTTGAGGCACCTGTTGAAGGAAAAAAATTGCGATGCCGAGAAAGGGGGTCTGGGTCCTTCCTCGGACCAAAGTGCCTTCCCAGCAGCCCCTGCGTGGGGTCTGAGGGCGTCGTTGGGTTCGTGTATCAGGCGGGGGCACCCCAATGCGGCAAGAAGACCCATAAGGGAAGATAAGGCTTGAAAGGTGAGGTCGAGGCACCTGTGGAAGGAAAAAAAAAAAACTGCGGGGCCAAGAAGCGGGACCTTGGTACTCCCACGGACGAAAGTGCCTTCCCAGCAGCACCTGCATGGGGCCCTGGGGATACTGGCATCCTTGGTTCGCAACCACAGTACCTGTCGCACCAATGGGGTCTCCCCAAAGCAGCAAGAAGGGCCATAAGGGGAGATAAGGCTTGAAAGTGGAGGTAGAGGCTCCTGTGGAAGAAAAAAAATGCGTGGCAGAGAACTTGGACCTGGGTCCCCCTAGTGGAAGAAAGTGCCTTCCCAGCAGCCCCTGCGCAGGGCCCCGGTATCCTGGCATCCCTCGTTCACACCCACGATGTGTGTCCCACATGCCAGGGGCAGCAAAAATCGGGAAGAAGGCCCAGATTGGAAGACAAGTCTTGAAAGGGGAGGTAGAGGCACCTGTTGAAAAACATGGAGAGGAAGAGAAGTTGCCCCTGGGTCAACCTACGGACGAAAGTGCCTTCCCAGTAGCCTCTGCGCGGGGCCCCCGGGAAACGTGCATCCCTAGTTCGCACCCATGGTGCATGTCCTGCACGCGGGGGACACCCCAAATAGACAAGAAGGCCCATAAAGGGTGATAAGGCTTGAAAGTGGAAATAGAGGCACCTATGGAAGGAAAAAAATGGTGCGGCAGAGAAGGGGACCTGGGTCCCCCCACGGACGAAAGTCCTTTCCCAGCAGCCCCTACGTGGGGCCGCGGGAATCCTGGCATCCCTGGTTCGCATGCACAGTGCGTGTCGTGCCCACGGGGGTGCACCCCAAAGTGGCAAGAAGGCACAAAAGAGGAGATAAGGTTTGAAGGTTAAGATAGAGGCACCTGTAGAAGGTAAAAAATGGTGCGGCAGGGAAGAGAGGCCTGAGTCCCCCCACGGACGAAAGTGCCTTCCCAGCAGTCCCTGTGCAGGTCCCCAGGAATCCTGGCATCCCTGGTTCGCACCCACGGTGTGTGCTGCGCCCACCGGGGGGAACCCCAAAGCGGCAACAGGCAACTGTGGAAGGAAAAAAACCCACGTGGCAGAGGATGGGGCCAGGTTCCCCCAACGTAAGAAAGTGCCTTCCCAGCAGCCCCTACGGGGGGCCCCAGGTATCCTGGCATCCCTGGATCACACCCATGGTGCCTGTCTTGGTGGCGGGGGCACCCCAAAGTGGCAAGAAGGCCCAGAAGGGAAGATAAGGCTTGAAAGAGGAGATAGAGGCACCTGTGGAAGGAAAAAAATGGTGTGGCAGTTGAGGGGGGCCTTCGTCACCCCACGGATGAAAGGCCCTCCCTAGCAGCCCCTGCGCAGGGCCCGGGGGATACTAGTATCACTGGTTCACAACCACTGTGCATGTCACGCCCACGGCGGGCATGCCTAAGTGGCAAGAAGGCCCAGAAGGGAAGATAAGGCTTGAAAGGTGAGTTAGCAGTAACTGTGGAAGGAAAAAAAATGGCGCAACAGAGGAGGAGTGCCTCATCCCCCCTCAGAAGAATGTGCCTTCCCAGCAGCACCTACAGGGGGTCCCGGGTTTCCTGGCATCCCTGGATCGCACCCATGGTGCATGTCATGGTGGCGGGGCACCCCAAAGTGGAAAGAAGGCCCAGAAGGGAAGATAAGGCTTGAAAGGGGAGGTAGAGCACCCGTTGAAGGAAAAAAATGGCGTGGCAGAGGAGGGGATCCTGGGTCTCCCCACAGATAAAAGTGTCTTCCCAGCACCCCCTACATGGGGACCCAGGGAAACTGGTGTCCCTGGTTCGCATCCACAGTGTGTGTTGCACCCACGGGGACCACCCCAAAGCAGCAAGATGGCCCAGGAGGAAAGATAAGGTTTGAAAGGGGAGGCAGAGGAACATGTGGAAGGAAAAAAAAGGTGCGGCAAAGCAGGGAGACCTGGGTCCCCCCAGGCACGAATGTACATTCCTAGTAGACCCTGCGCGGGGCCCTGGAGATCCTGGCGTCCCTGGTTCACACCCATGGTACATGTCGCACCCAAGAGGGGCACGGCAAAGTGGCAAGATGGCCCTAAAAGGAAGATAAGGCTTGAAAGGGGAGGTAGAGTCACCTGTGGAAGGAAAAAAATGACACAGCAGAGGAGGGGTGCCTCCGTTCCCCCCACGGCCAAAGTGCCTTCCTAGCAACACCTGTGCAGGGTCCTGTGGATCCGGGCATCCTTGGTTCGCACGCATGGCGCGTGTCGCACACATGGGGCGCACCCCCAAGTGACAAGAAGGCCTAGAAGGGAAGATAAGGCTTGAAATGGGAGGTAGAGGCACCTGTGGAAGGAAAATATATGGCGTGGTATAGGAGGGTATCTGAGTCACCCCACGGACGAAAGTGTCTTCCCAGCAGCTCCTGTGAGGTGCCCCGGGCATCCTGGCGTCCCTGGTTTGCACCAACGGTGTGTGTTGCACCCATGGGGCCACCCCAAAGCGGCAAGAATTCCTAGAAGGGAAGATTAGGCTTGAAAAAATATGGCTCGGCAGAGTAGGGGGGCCTAGGTCCCCCCACGGATGAAAGTTCCTACCCAGCAGCCACTGTGCGGTGCCCCGGGGAACCTGGCATCCCTTGTTCACACCCATGGTGCATGTCCTGCCTGTGGGGGGCACCCAAAAGCGTCAAGAACGCCCAGAAGGGAAGATAAGTCTTGAAAGGGGAGGTAGAGGCAACTGTGGAAGGAAAAGAAAACGATGTGGCAAAGGAGGAGGGCCTGGGTCCCCCCACGGAGGAAAGTGCCTTCCCAGCAGACACTGCGCAGGGCCTCGGGGATCCTGGCATCCCTGGTTCGCATCCACGGTGCGTGTCGTGCATGTCAGGGGGCACCCCAAAGCAGCAAGAAGGCTCAGAATGGAAGATAAGGCTTCAAAGTGTTGGTAGAGGCAACCGGGGAAGGAAAAAGTAAGGTGCAGGAGATTAGGGAGTCCTGAGTCACCCCACGGATGAAAGTGCCTCCCCAGCAACCACTGTGTGGGGCCCTGGAGAACCTGGCATCCCTGGTTTGCACCTATGGTGCATATCGCACCCACTGGGGCACCACTAGCTACAAGAAGCCCCAGAAGGAAAGATAAGGCTTGAAAGCGGAGGTAGAGGAAACTGTGAAAGAAAAAAACAACAACAACGGTGCAGCAGAGGAGGGGCTCCTGGGTCCTCCCATAGACAAAAGTGCCTTCCCAGCAGTCCCTGCACGGGGCACCGGGGATCCTGGCATCCCTGGATTGCAACCACGGTGTGTGTTGCACCCGCAGGGGCACCCCAAAGCGGCAAGAAGGCCCAGAAGGGAAGATAAGGCTAGAAAAGGGAGGTAGAGGCACCTGTGGAAGGAAGAAAAATGGCGCAGCAGAGGAGGGGGCCTGGGTCCCCCCACTGATGAAAGTGCTTTCCCAGCAGCCCCGAGCAGGGCCCTAGGGATCCTGGCTTCCCTGGTTCATACCCTCAGTGTGTGTCACGCCACCGGTTGGCAACCCAAAGCAACAAGAAGGCCCAGAATGGAAGATAAGTCTTGAAAGGGGAGGTAGAGGCACCTGTGTAAGAAGAAAAAATGGCGTGGCAGAGGAGTGGGGCCTGGGTCACTGCATGGACGAAAGTGCCTTCCCAGCAGCCGCTACACGGAGCCCCGGAGATCCTGGTGTCCTTGGATCGCACCCACTGTGCGTGTCGTGCCCGCAGGGCCACCCCCAAAGAGTCAAGAAGTCCCAGAAGGGAAGATAAGGCTTGAAAGGAGAGGTAGACGCGCCTGTGGAAGGAAAAAAAATGGTACGGCAGAGGAGGGGGGCCTGGGACCCTCCACGGACAAACCTGCCTCCCAGCAGCACCTGCATGGGTTTGCAGACATACTGGCGTCCCTGGTTCACACAGATGTTGCTTTTTGTGCCCATGGGGTTCACCCCAAAGTGGCAAGAAGGCCCAGAAGGGAAGATAAGGCTTGAAAGGGGAGGTACAGACACATGTGGAAGGAAAAAAAATGGCGTGGCAGAAGAGAGATGCTTCGGTCCCCCCACGGATGAAAGTGGCTTCCCAGGAGCCACTGCGCGGGTCCCTGGGGATCCTGGCATCCCTGGTTCGGAACCACGCTGTGTGTCGCGCCCGCTGGGGACACCCCAAAGTGGCAAGAAGACTGAGAAGGGAAGTTAAGGCTTCAAAAGGGGAGGTAGAAACGAAGGTGGAAGGAAAAAAGATGGCACGGCAGTGGAAGGGGGCCTGGGTCCTCCCATGGAGGTAAATGCCTTCCCAACAGCCCCTGCGGTGGGCCCTGGGGATCCTCGTATCGCTGGTTTGCACACACAGTGAATGTCACGCGTGGGCAGGTAGCACAAAACGGCAAGAAGGCCCAGAAGGGAACATAAGGCCTGAAAGGGGAGGTAGAGGCACTTGTGGAAAAAAACATGGCGCAGCAGAGGAGGGGGGCCTGGGTCCCCACAAGGACGAAAGTGCTTTCCCATCAGCCCTGTGTGGGGACATGGGGATACTGGCATCCCTGGTTCACACCCATGGTGCATGTCGTGCCTTCAGGGGGGTGCCCCAAAGCGGCAAGAAGGCCAAGAAGGGAATATAAGGCTTGAAAGGGGAGGTAGAGGAACCTGTGGAAGGAAAAAAACTCGTGGCAGAGGAGGGGTGCCTGGGCTTTCCCACAGATGAAGGTGCCTACCCCGCAGCCCCTGTGCCAGGCCCCGGGGATCCTGGCGTCCCTGGTTCACACCGACCGTGGATGTTGCGCCCCTGGGGGGCACCTGGAAGTGGCAAGAATGTCCAGAATGGAAGATAAGGCTTGGAAGGGGATGTAGAGGCACCTGTGAAGAAAAAAAAGCTGTGTGGCAGAGAAGGGGGCCTAGGTCCCCCACGGATGACAGTGCCTTCCCATCGGACCCTGCGTAGGGCCCCGGGGACACTTGCTTCCCTGGTTCACACGCACTGTGCTTGTCGCACCAGTGGTTGGCACCCAAAAGCGGCAAGAACTCCCAAAATGAAAGATAAGGCTTGAGTGGGGAGGTAGAGACACCTGTGGAAAGAAAAAAAATGGCGTGGCAGAAGAGGGAGACCTGGGTCCCTTCACAGACGACAGTGGCTTCCCAGCAGTCCCTGCATGGGGACCCGTGGATCCTGGTGTCCCTGGTTTGCACCCACGATGCGTGTCGTGTCCACTGTGGGCAACTAAAAGTGGCAAGAAGGCCGAGAAGGGAAGATAAGGCTTGAAAGGGGAGGTAGAGGCACCTATGGAAGCCTGGGTTGCCCACGGAGGAATGTGACTTCCTAGCAGACCCAGCGTGAGTACCTGGGGATACTTGCATCCCTGGTTCGCATTCACGGTGCGTGTCGCGCCCTTGCGGGGCACCTCAAAGCGGCAAGAAGGCCCAAAAGCGACGATAAGGCTTGAAAGGGGATGTAGACCTGTGGAATGAAAAAAAAAAAAGGCACGGCAGAGGATAAGGGCCTGGTTCGCATCACAGACGAAAGTGCCTTCCCAGAAGCCGCGGCTTGGGGTCCTGTGGATGTTGGCATACCTAGTTCGCACCCACAGTGTGTGTCGCACCCACGGGCGGCACCCCAAAGTGGCAAGAAGGCCCAGAAGGGAAGATAAGGCTTGAAAGGGGCGGGACAGACAGAGGGCAAGAAGGTCCAGAAGGGAAGATAAGGCTTGAAAGGGGAGATAGAGGAACCCGTGGAAGGAAAAAAAAATGGCGCAGTAGAGGAGGGGGGTCTGGATCCCCCCCACGGACAACGGTACCTCCATAGCATCCCCTGCATGGTGCCTTGGAGATCCTGGCATCCCTGGTTCACACCAAAGGTGCATGTGTCTCACAAAGGGGGCCACCCGAATGCGGCAAGAATGCACAGAAGGGAAGATAAGTCTTGCAAGGGGACATAGAGGCACCTGTGGAAGGAAAAAAATGGTGCAGCACTGGAGGGGTACCTGGGTCCCACCACGGACGAAAGTACCTTCCCAGCAGCCCCTGTGGTGGGCCCCAGGGATCCTGGCATCCCTGGTTTGCACCCACGGTGAATGTCACATGTGGGCGGGCACCACAAAAATGGAAAGATGGCCCAGAAGTGAAGATAAGGCCTGAAAGGGGAGGTAGAGGCACTTACGGAAAAAAAAATGGCACGGAAGAAGAGGGGGGCCTGGGTACCCACACAGATGAAAGTGCCTTCCCAGCAGCCCCTGCGCGGGGACATGGGGATACTGGCATTCCTGGATCACACCCATGGTGTGTGTCGCACTTGTGGTGGGCACCCCAAAGTGGCAAGAAGGCCAATAAAGGAATATAAGGCTTGAAAGGGGAGGTAGAGGAACCTATGGAAGGAAAAAATCTTGTGACAGAGGAGAGGGGCCTGGGCCTTCCCACCGATGAAAGTGCCTTCCCAGCAGCCTCTTCGCCGGGCCCTGGGGATCCTGGCATCCCTGGTTCACACCGACGGTGTGTGTCGCACCTGCAGGGGGCACCCCAAGCGGCAAGAATGTCCAGAATAGAAGATAAGGGCTGGAAGGGGAGGTAGAGGCACCTGTGAAGGAAAAAAAAAACTGCGTTTCAGAGGAAGTGGCCTCTGACCCCACGGATGAAAGTGCCTTCCCAGCAGCCCCTGCGCGGGGCCCCGGGGACCCTCGTGTCCCTGGTTCACACTCATGGGGCGTGTCGTGCCCACAGATGGCACCCGAAAGTAGCAAGAAATCCCAGAGGGAAGATAAGACTTGATAGAGGAGGTAGAGGCACCTGTGGAAGGAAAAAATACAGCACTGCAGAGGAGGGGGGCCTGGGTCCCCCCAGGGAAAAAAGTGCCATCCCAGCATCCCCTGCGCATGGCCCCGTGGATCCTGGCATCCTTGGCTCGCACCCACGATGTGTGTCACGCCCACTGTGGGCACCCCAAAGTGGCAAGAATGTTGAGAAGGGAAGATAAGGCTTGAAAGGGGAGGTAGAGGCACCTATGTAAGGGAAAAAAATGGCACAGCTGAGAAGGGGGCCTGGGTCCCCCTACGGAGGAATGTGACTTCCCAGCAGCCCCAGTGTGGGGACCTGGGGATACTTGCGACCTTGTTTCACATTCACGATGCATGTTGTGCCCTTGGGGGGCACCCTAAAGCAGCAAGAAAGCCCAGAAAGGAAGATGAGTCTTGAAAGGGGAGGTAGAGGCAACTGTAGAATGAAAAAAAGTCACAGCAGAGGATGGGGGCCTGGGTCGCATCACAGATGAAAGTGCCTTCCCAGAAGCCCCTGCTTAGCGCCCAGGGAAAACTGGCATCCTAGTTCGTACCATCCGTGCATGTCACACGTGCGGGGAGCACCCCAAATCAGCAAGAAGGCCCGTAAGCGAAGATTAAACTTAAAAGGGTAGGTAGAGACACCTGTGGAAGGAACAAAAACAGTGCAGCAGAGGAGGGGGGCCTCGGTCTCCCCACGGAAGAAATTGACTATCCAGCAGTCCCTTCATGGGGCCCCGGGAATCCTGGCATTCCTAGTCGGCACCAATGGTGCGTGTTGTGCGCACAGGGGGCACCCCAAACAGCAAGAAGGCCGAGAAGGGAAGATAAGGCTTCAAAGGGGAGGTAGTGGCACCTGTGGATGGAAAAAATATTGGCACGGCAGTGGAGGGGGATGTGGGTCCCCCACGGGTGAAACTGCCTTCCCAGCAGCCCCTCCGTGGGGACCCATGGACCCTGGCATTCCTGGTTCACACACAGTGTGTGTCACGCCAATGGGGGCACCCCAAGGCGGCTAGAAAGCCCAGAAGGGAAGATAAGGCTTGAAAGGAGAGGTAGAGACACCTGTGCAAGGAAAAAAAATAGCGTGGTAGAGGAGGGTGGCCTGGGCCCCCAAGGGACGAAAGTGCCTTTGCAAGGCCCCGAGGACACTGGCATCGCTGTTTCACACCCACAGTGAGTGTCGCACCCAGGGGGCACACTGCAATGTGGCAAGAAGGCCCAAAAAGAAAGGTAAGTCTTGAAAGGGGAGGTATAGGCACTTGTGAAATGAAACAAAATGACGCGGCAGAGGAGGGGGGCCTGGGTCACCACATGGAAGAAACTGCCTTCCCAGCAGCTCCTACATCATGCCCCTGGTATAGTGGCATCCCTGGTTTGCACCCACGGTGGGTGTCGTGCCCGCAGGAGGCACCCCAAAATGGCAAGAAGGCCAAGAAGGTAAGATAAGGCTGGAAAGGGGAGGTAGAGGCACCTGTGGAAGGAAAATAAATGTCACGGCAGAGGAGGGGGCCTGGGTCCCCCCATGGAAGAAAGTGCCTTCCCAGCAGTCCCTGTGCGGGGTCCCGGGGATACTGGCATCCCTGGTTCACACCCACAGTACATGTTGCGCCCATGGGGGGGCACCCCAAAGTGGCAAGAAGGCCCAGAAGGAAAGATAAGGCTTGAAAGGGGAGGTAGAGGCTTCTGTGGAAGGAAAAAAAAAGGGACGGCAGAAGAGGGGGGCCTCGGTCCCCCAACGCACGAAAGTGCCTTCCCAGTAGCCCCTGTGCTGGGCCCCGGGGATCCTGGCATGTCTGGTACACACCCACAGTACCTTTCACGCCCACAGGAGGCACCCCAAAGTGGCAAGAAGGTCCAGAAGGGAAGATAAGACTTGAAAGGGGAGGTGGACGCACATGTGGAAGGAAAAAAAAGGCACAGCAGAGGAGGGGGCCTGGGTCCCCCCTCGGATGAAATTGCCTTCCCAGCAGACCCTGCGCGGGTACCCAGGGATCCTGGCATCCCCAGTACGGACCTACGGTGCGTGTAGCCTCCATGGGGGGAACCCGAAATTGGCAGAATGCCCAGAAGGGAAGACAAGGCTTGAAAGGGGAATTAGAAGCACCTATGGAAGGAAAAAAATGGCGCAGCTGAGAGGAAGGCCTGGGTCACAGCACGGACGAAAGTGCCTTCCCAGCAGCCTCTGCATTGGGCCACTGGCATCCTGGTATCCCTGCTTCGCACCCACGGTGTGTGTCGCTCCCACAGGTGGCACCGCAAAGCAGCAAGAAAGCCCAGAAGGGAAGATAAGGCTTGAAAGGGGAGGCAGAGGCACCTGTGGAAGGAAATAAATGGCACGCAGAAGAGGGAGGCCTGGGTCGCCTCACGGACGAAAGTGCCTTCCCAAAAGCCCCTGCATGGGGACGTGGGGATCCTGGCAACCCTGGTTCACAACCATGGTGCATGTCATGCCCGTAGGGACTACCCCAAAGCGGCAAGACGGCCCAGAAGGGAAGATAAGGCTTGAAAGTTGGGGGCAGTTGAACCTGTGGAAGGGAAAAAAGGCGCCATAGAGGAGGGGCGCCTGGGTGCCCCCACGGAAGAAAGTGCCTTCCCAGCATCCCCTGCACTGGGCCCCGGGGATCCTGGCATGCCTGGTTCACACCCACGGTGTGTGTCACACCCGCGGGGGCTCCACAAAGTGGCAAGAAGCCCCAGAGTGGAAGATAAGGCTTGAAAGGGGAGGTAGAGGCAACTGTGGAAAGAAAAAATGGCATGGCAGAGAAGGGTGGCCTGGGTCCCCCGACGGAAGTACTTGCCTTCCCAGCAGCCCCTTCGCCATGCCCCGGGGATCCTGGCATCCCTCATTAGCACCCACCATGTGTGTTGCACGCGTGGCCTGCAGCCCAAAGCGGCAAGAAGACCCAGAAGGGAGGATAAGTATTGAAAGTGGAGGTAGAGGAAGAAATGGAAGGAAAATATATGGAGCAGCAAAGGATGGGAGCCTGGGTCCTCCTGAGAGGTGACAGCATGTTGGCAGCCCTCACTCGCTCTCGGCTTCCCAAAGTGCTGGGATTACAGGTGTGAGCCACTGGGCCTGGCTGGCAGCTGCGGAGGGTGTGCCGGGTCCCCCAGCAGTGCCGGCCCGCCCGCGATGTGTTTGAATTATCGCAGGACCTCAGCTGCCTCCCCATGGGGCAGGGCTTGGGACCTGCAGCCCGCCATGCCTGAGCCTCTCCCCCACGGCCTTGGGCTCCTGCATGGCCCGAGCCTCCCCGACGAGCACCGCCCTCTGCTCAGTGGTGCCCAGTCCCATCCACCGCTCAAGGACTGAGGAGTGCAGGCGCACAGCGCGGGACTGGTGGGCAGTTCTGCCTGCAGCCCCTGTGCAGGATCCACTAGGTGAAGCCAGCCGGGCTCCTGAGTCTAGTGGGGACTTGGGAAACTTTATGTCTAGCTAAGGGATTGTAAATACACCAATCAGCACTCTGTGTCTAGCTCAAGATTTGTAAACACACCAATCAGCACCCTGTGTCTAGCTCAAGGTTTGTAAACACATCAATCAGCACCCTGTGTCTAGCTAATCTAGTGGGGACTTGGAGAACTTTTGTGTCTAGCTCAGGGATTGTAAACACAGCAATCAGCACCCTGTCAAAACAGACCAATCAGGTTTCTGTAAAACAGACCAATCAACTCTCTGTAAAATGGACCAATCAGCAGGATGTGAGTGGGGCCAGATAAGGGAATAAAAGCAGGCTGCCTGAGCCAACAGTGGCAACCCTCTCGGGTCCCCTTCCACACTGTGGAAGCTTTGTTCTTTCGTTCTTTGCAATATATCTTGCTGCTGCTCGCTCTTTGGGTCCGCACTGCCTTTATGAGCTGTAACATTTACAGCGAAGGTCTGCAGCTTCACTCCTGAGGCCAGCGAGACCACGAACCCACCTGGAGGAACGAACAACTCCAGACGCACCGCCTTAAGAGCTGTAACACTCACCACGAAGGTCTGCAGCTTCACTCCTGAAGCCAGCGAGACCACGAACCCACCAGAAGGAAGAAACTCTGACACGTCCGAACGTCAGAAGGAACAAACTCCAGACACACCGTCTTTAAGAACTGTCACACTGCGAGAGTCCGCGGCTTCATTCTTGAAGTCAGAGACCAAGAACACATCAATTCCGGACACACTCCCATAGCAAAAGTGCCTTCTCAGCAGCTCCTGCACGGGTCCCGGGTATCCTGGCGTCCCTGCTTCACACCCATGGTGCGTGTCGTGCTCACGGGGACACCCCAAAGTGGCAAGAAGACCCAGAAGGGAAGATAAGGCTTGAAAGGGGAAGTAGAGGCGCTGGTGCCTCTCCCTCCCTTTCAAGCCTTATCTTCCCTTCTGGGTCTTCTTGCCACTTTGGGCTGCACGCCGCGCGTGCCACACGCTCTGTGGGTGCCAACCAGGCACGCCAGGATCCCTGGGGCATGGCGCAGGGGCTGCTGGGAAGGCACGTATGTCCGTGGGGGCCCAGACCACCCTCCTCTGTTGTGTCTTTTTTTTTTCCTTCCACAGTTGCCTCTGCCTCCCATTTCAAGCCTTATCTTCTCTTCGGGGGTGTTGCTGCTTAATTTTGCCACCCCTTGTGCGTGACATGCACCGTGGGTGCGAACCAGGGAGGTCAGGATTCCTGGGGTCCCATGCATGGGCTGCTGGGAAGGGACTTCCTTCTGTGGGGGGACCAAGGCCCCCTCCTCTGCCACACCGTTTTTCTCCTTCCACAGGTGCCTCTATCTCCCCTTTCAAGCCTTATCCTCTCTTCTGGCATATTGCCAATTTGGGGTGCCATCCAAGGGCGCGACATGCACTGTTGGTGCAAACCAGGGATGCCAGGGTCCCTGGGGCCCCACATAGGGACTGCTGGGAAGGCACTTTCGTCAGAGGTAGGACTCAAGCCACCCTCCCCTGCCGCGCCATTTTTTTCTTTCCACAGGTACCTCTACCTCCTCTTTCAAGATTTATCTTCCCTTCTGGGCCTTCTTGCCACTTTGGTGTGCCCTCCCTGGGCGCGACACCCACCGTGGGTGTGAACCAGGCATGCCAGTATCCCCGGGTCTTCGCGAAGGGACTGATGGCAAGTCACTTTTTTCCGCGGGGTGACCCACGCCTACCTCCTGTTCCACGCCGTTTTTTTTTTTTTCCTTCCACAGGTGCCTCTTCCTCCTCTTTCAACCCTTAACTTCTCTTCTGGGCCTTCTTGCCGCTTTGGGGTGGCCTACGTGTGCCCGACAGGCACCGTGGTGCGAACCAGGGATGCCACGATCCCTGGGGTCCCATACAGGTTCTGCTGGGGAGGCACTTTCGTCCGTGCAGAGATCCAGGCCCCCCTCCTCTGCTGCACCATTTTTCTCCTTCCACAGTTGCCTCTGTCTCCCCTTTCAAGCCTTATCTTCCCTTCTGGGCCTTCCTGCCACTTAGATGTGCCCACTGTGGGCGTGACATGCACCATCGTTGCGAACTAGATATGCCTTTATCCCCAGGGCCCCGTGCAGGGACTGCTGGGAAGGCACTTCCATTCCTGGGGGGACCTAGGACCCCTCCTCTGCTGTGCCATTTTTTTTCCTTCCCCAGGTGCTTCTAACTCTCCTTTCAAGACTTATCTTCCCTTCTGGGCCTTCTTGACGATTTGAGATCACCCCCGCGGGCACAACCCACACCAAGGTTGTGAACCAGGCATGCCAGGATCCCTGGGTCCCCTCGCAGGGGGTGCTGGAGGCACTTTCGTCCGCTGTGGGACCTAGGCACCCCCCTCCTCAGCTGTGCCATTTTTTTCTTCCACAGCTGCCTCTACCTCCCCTTTCAAGCCTTATCTTCCCTTCTTGGCTTTCTTATCATTTTGGGTGACCTCCGTGGACACGACAAGCACTATGGGTGCGAACCAGGGATGCCAGGATCCCCGGGCCAAGTGCAGGTTCTGCTGGAAAGGCACTTTCTTCCGTGGGGGGACCCAGTCCCCCTTCTGTGCTGCGCCACTTTTTTTCCCTTCCACAGTTTCCTCTACCTCCCCTTTGAAGCCTTATCTTCCCCTTTGGGCTTTCTTGCTGCTTTGGGGTGTCCTCCATGTGTGCGACACCTACTGTGGGTGTGAACCAGTGACACCAGGATCCCTGGGGCCCCATGAAGGGGCTGCTGGGAAGGTACTTTCTTCTGTTAGGGGACACACGCCCCCATTCTGTGCCGCACCATATTTGTTCCTCTTACTCTCCTTTCAAGCCCTATCTTCCCTTCTGGGCCTTCTTGCCGCTTTCTGGTGCCCTCCGTGTGGGCAACACGCACCGTGGGTGTGAACCCTGGATGTCAGCATACCCGGGGCCCCACGCAATGGCTGCTGGGAAGGCACTTACGTCCGTTGGGGAACCCAGGCCCCTCTCTTCTGCCGTGTCGTATTTTTTTTTTCCACAGATGCCTCTAGCCCTTCTTTCAAGCCTTATCTTCCCTTCTAGGACTTCTTGCCACTTGGGGTGCCCCGTAGGCGCGACAAGCACTGTGGGTGTGAACCAGGGATGCCAGGAGCCCTGGGCCTCACGCATGGGTTACTGGGGAGGCACTTTCTATTGTGGCGGGACCCAGGCCCTCCTCCTCTGCCATGCCATTGTTTTTCCTTCCACAGGTGCCTCTACTTCCCCTTTCAAGTCTTATGTTCCTTTCTAGACTTTCATGCCGCTTTGGGGTGCCCCCGGCGGGTGTGACACACACTCTGGGTACGAATCAGGGATGCCAGCATTACCAGGACCCCGCACAGGGGCTACTGGATGAGCAGTTTCATCTGTGGGAAAACCCAAGCCCCCCTCCTCTGCCACACCGTTTTTTTTCCCTTCCACAGGTGCCTCTATCTTCCCTTTCAAGCGTTATCTTCCCTTCTGGGCTTTCTTGCCATTTTGGGGTGCCCCTGTGAGGGTGACACACACCGTGGGTGTGAACCAGGGATGCCAGGATCCCCGGGGCCCCATGCAGGGGTTCCTGAGAAGGCACTTTCGTCCATGGGAGGACCCAGTACCCCATCCTCTTTCACGCCACTTTTTTCCCTCTACAGTTGCCTCTTCCTCCACTTTCAAGCCTTATCTTCCCTTCTGGGCATTCTTACCACTTTGGGGTGACCCTCCTGGCGTGACATGCACCCCGTGGGCATGACACGCACCGTGGGTGTGAACCAGGGATGCCAGGATACCCGGGTCCTAGCGCAGGGGCTGCCGGGGAGGCACTTTTGTTTGTGGGTAGACCCAGGCTCCCCTCCTCTGCTGCACCATTTTTTTTTCTTCCACAGGTGCCTCTACCTCCCCTTTAAAGCCTTATCTTCCTTTCTGGGCATTCTTGCCACTTTGAAGGGCCCCTTATGGGCATGACATGCACCGTGGGTGCGAACCAGGCAAGCCAGGATCCTCGGGGACCCGCGCAGGGGATGCTGGGAAAGTACTTTCGTGCACGGGGCGACCCAGGCCCCCCTTCTCTGCCGCACCATTTTTTTCTTCCACAGGGTTCTCTACCTCCCCTTTCAAGCCTTATCTTTCTTTCAGTGCCTCCTTGCCACTGAGGGGGGCCCACCATGGGCACAACACTCACTGTGTATGCGAACCGGGGAAGTCAGAATCCCCAGGGCCCTGCACAGGGGCTGCTGTGAAGGCACTTTCTTCCGTGGATGGACCCAGGGCCCCCTCCTGTGCCACACCATTAGCTTTCTTTCCACAGGTGCCTCTACCTCTCCTTTCAGGCCTTATCTTCTTTAATGGGCGTTCTTGCAACTTTGGGTTGCCCCCGTGGGCGTGACAAGCACCATGCTTGTGAGCCATGGATGCCAGGATCCCTGCAGCCCCACCCAGGGGGTGCTGGGAAGGCACTTTCATCCTTGGGGGGACCCAGGCCCCGCTCCTCTGGGTCGCCATTTTTTTTCCTTCCACAGGTGCCTCTACCTCCTCTTTCAAGCCTTATCTTCCTCTCTGGGCCTTCTTGCCTCTTTGGGTGCACCCTGCCGTCATGACACACACCTTGGGAGCGAACCAGGGATGCCAGAATCCCCAGATCCCCACGCAGGGGCTGCTGGGATGGCACTTTTGTCCGTGGGGAGACCCAGACTCCCTGTTCTGCTTCGCCATATTTTTCTTTCCACAGGTGCCTCTACCTCCCCTTTTTAGCCTTATCTTCCCTTCTGGGACTTCTTGCTTCTTTGAGGTGCCCTTCGCATGTGCGACATGCACAGATGGTGTGGACCAGGGATGGCAGCATCCCCTGGGCCCTGAGCATGGGCTGCTGGGAAGGCACTTTCGTCTGTGGGGTGTCCCAGGCCCCCCTCCTCTGCCGCACCATTTTTTTCCTTCCACAGGTGCCTCTACCTCCCCTTTCAAGCCTTATCTTCCCTTCTGGGCCTTCTTGCCACTGTGGAGTGTCCCCTGCGGGCGTGACACACACAGTGTGTGTGAACCAGGTACTCCAGTATCACCAAGTCCCCATTCAGGGGCTGCTAGGGAGGCACTTTTGTCTGTGGTGGGACCCAGGACCCCTCCTCTGCCACGCCATTTTTTTTTCCTTTCACAGGTGCCGCTACCTCATCTTTCAAACCTTATGTTCCCTTTTCTTAATTATTGCCACTTTGGGGTGCCCGACATGCACCATGTGTATTTACCAGTGATGCCAGGATTCCCTGGGCCCCAGGCAGGAGCTGCTGGGAAGGCGCTTTCGTCCGTCGGGGAATCCAGGCCGTCCTCTGCTCCTGGGCCATTGTTTTTCCTTCCACAGGTGCCTCTACTTGCCCTTTCAAGCCTTATCTTCCTTTCTGGTCATTTTTGCAACTTTGGGTTGGCCCCTGTGGGAGTGACAATCAACTTGGTGCGAGACAGGGATGCCAGGACCAGTGGCTGCTGGGAAGATACTTTTGTCCATGGGGGGACCCAGGCTCCCCTCCTATGCTGCACGATTTTTTTCCTTCCACAGGTCACTCTACCTCCCCTTTCAACCTTATCTTCCCTTCTGGCCCTACTTGCCATTTTGGGTTGCCCCCCAGCGGGCACGACATGCACCATTGGTGCAAATCAGGGATGCTAGTATCACTGGGGCCCTGCGACGGGGCTGCTGAGGAGGCCCGTTCGTCTGTGGGAGGACCCAGGCCCCCCTCCTGTGCCATGCCTTTTTTCCTTCTACAAGTGCCTCTACCTCCCCTTTCAAGCCTTATCTTCCCTTCGGGACCTTCTTGCCACTTAGGGGTGCCCCCTGGGGGTGCAACACGCACTGTGGGTGCGAACCAAGGTCACCAGGATCCCCGGGTCCCTGCTCAGGGTCCGCTGGGAAGGCACTTTCATCCTTGGGGAACCCCGACACCCCTCCTCTGATGCGCCATTTTTTTCCTTCCCCAGGTGGGTCTACCTCCTGTTTCAAGCCTTATCTTTCCTTCTGGACCTTCTTGCCTCTTTGGGGTGCCCTCCCACGGGTGCAACGCACACTGTGGCTGTGAACCAGGGAGGCCAAGATCCCCGGAGCCCCACGCAGGGGCTAATGGAAACGTACTTTCGTCTCTGGGAGGACCCAGGTCCTCCTCCTCAGCCGTACCGTTTTTTTTTTCCCTCAACAGATGGCTCTACCTCCCCTTTCAAGCCTTATCTTCACTTCTGGGCCTTTTTGCCACTTTGGAGTGCCCCATGGGCAAGACCCGCACTGTGGGTGTGAACTTGGGACATCAGGATCCCCAGGGCCCTGCTCCAGGGCTCCTAGGGAAACACTTTTGGCCGTTGGGTTATGCAGGACCCCTTCTCGGCTGTGCCAATTTTTTTCCTTCCACTGATGGCTCTACCTCCCCTTTTAAGCATTATCTTTCGTTCTGGGCCTTTTTGCTGCTTTAGGGTACCCTGCACAGGCACGACACACACCTTGGCTATGAACCAGAGATGCCAGAATCCCCGTGGCCCCACACAGTGGCTGCTGGGATGGCACTTTCGTCCATGGGGGACCTAGGCCCCCTCCTCTGCTGCGCCATATTTTTTCCTTCCACAGATGCCTCTACCTCCCCTTTCAAGTCTAATCTTCGCTTCCGGGCCTTCTTGCTGATTTGAGGTGCTCCCCGCATGTGTGACATGCACGGATGGTACGAACTAGGATGCCAGTGTTCCCTGGGCACTGAGCAGGGGCTGCTGGGAAGGCACTTTCATCCGTGGGGTAACCCAGGCCCCTCTCCTCTGCCGTGCCTTTTTTTTCCTTTCACAGGTACCTCTACTTCACCTTTCAAGACTTATATGACCTTCTGGGCCGCCTTGCCACTTTTGGGTGCCCCCCACGGGCGTGAGATGCACAGTGGGAACAAACCAGGGTGGCCAGGATCACCAAGTCCCAATGCACAGGATGCTGGGAAGGCACTTTCATCCGCAGGTGGAACCAGGACCCTCTCCTCTGCCGCGCCATTTTTTTTTTCCTTCAACAGGTGCCACTACCTCACCTTTGACGCCTTATTTTCCCTTCTCTCAATTCTTGCCGAATTGGGGCCCAACCTGTGGGTCCGACAGGCACCCTCATTGCGAACCAGGTATGCCAGGACCCCCGGGCCCCGCACAGGGGCTACTGGGACAGCATTTTCTTGTGGGAGGACCTAGGACCCCCTCCTCTGCCATGCCATTTTCTTTTCCCTCCACATGTGCCTCTACCCCTGTTTCAAGCCTTATGTTCCCTTCTGGCCCTTCTTGTTGCTTTGTAGTGTCCCCCGTGTGCACGACACGCACCGTGGGTGTGAAACAGGGGTGCCAGGATTCCCGGGACTCTGCACAGGGGCTGCTGGGAAGGCACTTTCGTCCAAGGGGGAACCCAGGCCCCCCCTTATGATCCGCATTATTTTTCCTTACACAGGTAACTCTACCTCCCCTTTCAAGATTTATCTTCCCTTCTGAGACTTCTTGCTGCTTTGTGGTGACTCCGCGGGTGCAACATGCACCATGGTGTGAACCAGGGACACCAGCATCCCTGGGGCCCCGTGCAGGGGCTGTTGGGAAGACACTTTCATCCGTGGGGGGACCTAGGTCCCCCTCCTCTGCCGCGCCTTTTTTTCCCTTCCACAGGTGCCTCTGACTCCCCTTTCAAGCCTTATCTCTCCTTATGGGGCTTTTTGCTGCTTTGGGATGCCCCCACTTGGGTGTGACATGCACCGTGGGTGAGAATCAGGGATGCCAGGATCCCCAGGGTCCTGCGCAGGGGCTGCTTGGATGGCACTTTCATCCATGGGGCGAGCCAGGCCCCCCTTCCCTGCCGCGCTTTTTTTTAATTCCACAGTTGCCTATACCTCCCTTTTCAAGGCTTATCTTCCCTTCTGCTCCTTCTTGACGCATTGAGGAGGCGCCTGTTTGCGTGACAAGCACCGTGGGTGCGAACCAGGGATGCCAGGAAGTCCTGGGCCCTACGCAGAGGCTGCTGGGAAGGCACTTTCAACCGTGGGTGGACCTAGGCCCTGCTTCTCTGCCGCGCCATTTTTTTCCTTCTACACTTGCCTCTACCTCCCCTTACAAGACTTTTCTCCCCTTTTTGGCCTTATTGCTACATTGGGGTGCCCCCCGGTGGGCACGACATGCCCCATGGGTGCGAACGAGGGATTCCAGGATCCCCGGGTCCCCAAGCAGGGACTGTTGGGAAGGCACTTTCACCCATAGGGGGCCCAGTTCCCCTCCTCTGTCGCGCTGTTTTTCTTCCTTCCACAGGTGCCTCTACCTCCCCTTTCAAGCCTTATCTTCCCTTCTAGGATTTCTTGCCACGTTGGGGTGCCCAGGTCAGATGCAACATGCACCATCAGTGTGAACAGGGACACCAGCATCGCTGGGGCTCCACGCAGGGGCTCCTGTGCACTTTCGTCCATGGGGGGCCCCACGCCCCCCTCTTCTTCCGCACAATTGTTTTTCCTTCCACAGTTGCCTCTACCTCCCCTTTGAAGCCTTATCTTCCCTTCTCGACCTTTTTGCCGCTTTGGGGTCCCCCCTGGCAGGTGGGACACCCACCGTGTTTGTGAACCAGGGATGCCAGGATCCTTGGGGTACCGAGCTGGGGCTGCTGGGAAGGCACTTTCGTCAGTGGGGGACCTGGGTCCCCCTCTGCGGCAGCGCCATTTTTTTTCCTTCCACAGGTTCCTCTACATCCCCTTTGAAGCCTTCCCTTCCCTTCTGGGCCCTCTTGCCTCTTTGGAGAGTCCCCCTTGGGCTCGACAAGCACCTTGGGTGCGAACCAGGGATGTGAGGATCCCTGGGGCCCCACTCATTGGCTACTGGGAAGGCAGTCTCATCCGTGGGAGGACCTAGGCCCCCCTCCTGTGCCACATCGTTTTTTTTTTTTTTTCCTTCCACTGGTGCCTCTACCTCCCCTTTCAAGCCATATCTTCCCTTCTGGAACTTCTTGCTGATTTGGGGTGCCCCGTCGGGCATGACACGCACTGTGGGTGCAAACCAGGGATGCCAGTATCTCCGGGGCCCCATGCAGTGGCTGCTGGGAACGCATTTTCGTTTGTGGGAGGATCCAGGCCCCCATCTTCTGCTGTGCCATTTTTTTTCCTTCCACAGGTGCCTCTACCTCCCCTTCCAAGCCTTATCTCCCCTTATGGGCCTTCTTGCTACTTTCGGGTTCCCCCACGGTGGGGGGGCATGCACCGTGGGCGTGAACCAGGGACGCCAGTATCTCCAGAGCCCCGTGCAGGGGCTGCTGGGAAGGCACTTTTTTCCGTGGTGGGACCCAAGCCCCCCTTATCTGCCACGCCATTTTTTTTCCTTCCACAGGTGCCTCTACCTCCCATTTCAACCTTTATCTCCTCATATGGGCCTTCTTGTCACTTTGGGGTGCCCCTCAATGGCCACAACACGAACCGTGGGTGAGAAACAGGGAGGCCAGGATTCCCGGGGCCTCGCCCATGGGCTGCTGTGAAGGCACTTTTGTCCGTTGGGCGACCCAGGACCCCTTCCTCTGCTGCGCCTTATTCTTTACTTCCACAGGTGCCTCTACCTCCCCTTAGAAGGCTTATCTTCCATTCTGGGTCTTCTTGCTACTTTGGGGTGCCCTTCGTGGGTGCGATCCAGGGATGCCAAAATACCCGGGGCTCCGCGCAGGGGCTCCTGGGAAAGCACTTTAGTCCATGGGGGAACCCAGGCATCCCTCCTCTGCTGCGCCGTTGTCTTTCCTTCCACAGGTGCCTCTACAGCCCCTTTCAAGCCTTATCTCACCTTATGGGCCTTGATGCCACTTTGGGGTGCCTCCCTATGGTCGTGACAGGCACCATGTTTGTGAACCAGGGACGCCAGGATCCCTAGGGCCCTTTGCAGGGGCTGCTGGAAAGGCACTTCTGTTTGTGGGGGGATCCAGGCCCCCCTCCTCTGCCACACCATTTTTTTCCTTCCACAGGTGCCTGTACCTCCCCTTTCAAGCCTTATCTTCCCTCTGGGCCTTCTTACCGCTTTGGGGTACCTCCTGTGGGCTTGAAACACACCTTGAGCGTGAACCAGGGATGCCAGCATCCCCGAGGCCTCACGCAGGGGCTGCTGGAGAGGCACTTTCATCCATGGGGAGACCCAGGCCCCCCTCCTACGTCGCGCCATATTTTTTCCTTCCATAGGTGCCTCTAACTCCGCTTTCAAGACTTATCTTCTCTTCGCGGCCTTCTTGCCACTTTGGGGTGCCCCCTGTGGGTATGACACGTACCATTGGTGAGAACCAGGGAAGCTAGGATCCCCAGGACCCTGCTCGGGCTGCTGGGAAGGCACATTCGTCTGTGGGAGGACCCAGGCCCCCCTCCTCTGCCGTGCCATATTTTTTCTTCCACAGGTGCCACCACCTCCTCTTTCAAACCTTATATTCTGTTCTGGGCCATCTTGACACATTGGGGTGCCCTCCGTGTGCACGACCAGCACCCTGGGTGTGAACCAGGGATGCCAGGATCCCCGGGGCCCCACGCCAGAGCTGCTGGGAAGGCACTTTCTTCCGTTGGGGGACCCAGGACCCCCTCTGGTTTTTTTCCTACCACAGGTGCCTCTACCTCCCCTTTCAAGCCTTGTCTTCCATTCTGTCCCTTCTTGCCGCTTTGAGCTGCCCCCGCAGGCAAAACACGCACCATGGGTACGAACCAGGGATGTCTGGATTCCCAGGGCCCCGCTGCTGGGAAGGCACTTTCGTCCGTTGGAGACCCAGTCTCCACTCCTCTGCCACGCCTTTTTTTTCCCTTCACAGGTGCCTCAGTCTTCCCTTTCAAGCCTTATCTTCCTTTCTGGGCTTTCTTGTCGCTTTGGGGTGCCCCATGTGGGTGCAACATGCACCATGGGTGCGAACCAGGGATGGAAGGATCCCTGGGGCCCTGCCCAGTAGCTACTGGGATAGCACTATCGTCCATGGGGAGACATAGGCCCCCTTTCTCTGCCGCGCCATGTATTTTCCTTACAAAGATACCTCTACCTCCCTTTTCAAGCCTTATCTTCCCTTCCAGGACTTCTGGCCACATTGGGCTGCCCCCACGGGAGCGACATGCACTGTGGGTATGAACCAGGGATGCCAGGATTCCCAGGGTCCCACGCAGGGGCTGCTAGGAAGGCACTTTCGTCCATGGGGGACCCAGGACCCCCTCCTCTGCCGGGCCGTTATTTTTCCTTCCACAGGTGCCTTACCTCCCCTTTAAAGCCTTTTTCTTCAATTCCGTGCCTTCTTCCTGCTTTGGGACGAACCCCGTGGTGGCAACACGCAACTTGGCTGTGAACCAGGGACTCCAGGATCTCCGAGGCCCCGTGAAGGGGCTGCTGGGGAGTCACTTTGGTTCATGGGGTGACCCACGCCCCCCTTTTCTGCGGCGCCATTTTTTTCCATCCACACGTGCTCCACCTCACCTTTCAAGCCTTATCGTCCCTTCTGAACCCTCTTGCCCCTTTGCGGTAATGCCGTTGTCGCGACATGCACCGTGGGTGTGAACCAGGTATGCCAGAATCGCCTGGGCCACGCGTAGGGTCTCCTGGGAAAGTGCTTTCTTCCGTGGGGGGACCCATGCCTCCCTCCTCTGCCGTGTTGTTTTTTTTCCTTCCACAGGTGCCTCTACCTCTCCTTTCAAGCCTTGTCTTTCCTTCTGGGCTTCTTGCCATTTTGGGTTGCCTTCTGCGGGTTCGACAAGCACTGTGGGTGGGAACCAGGGATGCCAGGATCGCCGGGGCCACGTGCAAGGGCTACTGGGAAGGCATTTTCTTCCTTGGGAAGACTCAGGCTCCCCTTTTCAGCCATGCCCGTTTTTGTCCTTCCACTGGTGCCTCTACATCACCTTTCAATCCTTATCGTCACTTCTGGGCCTTCTTGCCGCTTTGGGATGACCCCGTTGTCTTGACATTCACCATGGGTGTGAGCCAGGGATGGCAGGGTCCCCAGGGCCCCATGCAGCAGCTGCTGGGAAGGCACATTCATCCGCGAAGGGACCCAGACCCCCCTCCTGTGCCGCGCTGTTTTTTTTCCTTCCACAGGTACCTCTACCTCCACTTTCAAGGCTTGTCTTCCCTTCTGGGCCTTCGTGCCGCTTTGGGGTGCCCCCTGTGGGCGTGACACTCACTGTGGGTGTGACTCTCACTGTGGGTGTGAACCAGGGATGCCAGAATCCCTGGGGTCCCCCGCAGGGGCTGCTGGGAAGGCACTTTCATCCATGAGGGGACCCAGTCCCGCCTCCTCTGCCTTGCCTTGTTTTTCCTTCCACAGGGGCCTCTACCACCCCATTCATACCTGATCTTACCTTCTTGGATTTCTTGCTGCTTTGGGTGTCCCCCCAGGCACGACACGCATTGTGGATGCAAACCAGGGATGCCAGGATCCATGGGGCCCTGCGCAGGGGCTGCTGGGAGGGCACTTTCTTCTGTGGGGGGATCCAGTCTGCCCTCCTCTGCAGCACTGTTTTTATCCTTCCACAGGTGCCACTACCTCCACTTTCAAGCCTTATATTCCCTTCTGTTCCTTCTTGCAGCTTTGGTGTGCCCCCATGGACATGACACGCACTGTGGTTGTGAACCAGGGATGCCAGGATCCCCGGGGCCCCAAGCAGGGGCTGCTGGGAAGGAACTTTCTTCTGTGGGGGGACCCAGGCCCCCTCCTCTGCCGCGCCACTTTTTTTTCATTCCACAGCTGCCTCTAACTCTGCTTTCAAGCCTTATCTTCCCTTCTGGGCCTTCTTCCTGCTTTGGGGTGCCCCTCATGGGTGAGACACGCACTGTGGGTGTGAACCAGGGACACCAGGATCTCCAGGGCCCCGTTCATTGTCTGCAGGGATGTCACTTTGGCCTGTGGGGGGACCGAGGCACCCCTTCTCTGCCATGCCAATTTTTTCCATCCACAGATGCCTCTACCTCCGCTTTCAAGCTATGTCTTCTCTTCTGGGCTTTCTTGCCGCCTTGAGGTGCCCCCTGTGGTCGTGTCACTCACCGTGATAGTGAACCAGGGACATCAGGATCCCTGGGTCCCCGTGCATGGGCTGCTGAGAAGGCACTTTTATCCTTGGGAGGACCCAGGCCCCCTTCCTCTATTGCACCATTTTTTTTTCTTCCACAGGTTCCTCCACCTCCCCTTTCAAACTCATCTTCCTTTCTGGGCTGCCTTGTCACTATGGGGTGCCCCCTGCGGGCACGTCATGCAACGTGAGTGCAAACCAGGGATGCCAGGATTCCTGGGTCCCCACGAAGGTGCTGCTGGGAAGGGACTTTCGTCCATTGGGGCACTGAGGCCCCCCTCCTATGCTGTGGTATTTTTATTCCTTGCAGAGGTGCATCTGCCTCCCCTTTCAAGCATTATCTTCCCTTCTGTCCCTTCTTGCCGTTTTGGGGAGCCTGCCATGTGCGTGACTCCCATCATGGGTGCAAACTAGGGATGCCAGAATCCCCAGTAAACCACGCAGGGGCTGATGGGAAGGCACTTTCCCCCTTGCGGGGGATCCAGGCCCCTCTTCTCTGAAGTTCCATTTTTTTCCATACACAGGTGCCTCTAGCACACCTTTCAGGTCATATCTTCCCTTTTGGGCTTTTTTGCCTCTTTGATGTGCTCCCTGTGGTCGTCACACGCAACGTGAGTGCGAACCAGGGACGCCAGGATCCCCAGGGGCCTGCGCAGGGGATGCTGGGAATCGACTTTTGTGCATGGGGGGACACAGGCACCTCTTCTCTGCCGTATCTTTTTTTTCCTTCCACAGGTGCCTCTACCTCCCCTATCAAAACTTATCTTCCCTCCTGGGCCATCTTGCCGCTTGGCGGTGGCCCCTGTCGGCACGACACACACTGTGGGTGTGAACCAGGGACTCCAGGATCCCCGGGCCCAACACAGGGGCTGCTGGGAAGGCATTGTCATCCGAGGGGGACCCAGGCCCCCTCCTCTGCTGCGCCATTTTTTTCCTTCCACAGGTGCCTCCACCTCCCATTTCAAGCCTTATATTCCCTTCTGTGCCTTCTTGCCACTTTTGTTGCCCCATTGGGCGCGACACACACTGTGGGTGTGAACCATGGACCCCATGATTTCCAGGGCCCCACGCACGGGCTGCTGGGAAGGCACTTCCATCCGTAGAAGGACCCAGGCCCCCTTTCTCGTCCGCATCATTTTTTTTCCTTCCACAGCTGCCTCGACCTCCGTTTTGAAGCCTTATCTTCCCTTACGGGCCTTCTTGCCGTTCTGGGGTGACTCCCTTGGGTGAGACACGTACCCCACGACCTCCGCAGACCCCACTCAGGGGCTGCTGGGAACACACGTCCGTCCGTGGAAGGAACCAGGCTCACTTTCTTGGCCCTGCCATTTTTTTGCCTTCCGCAGCTTCCTCTACCTCCCCTTTCAAGCCTTATCTTCCCTTCTGGGTTTTCTTGTCGCTTTGGAGTGCCCCTGTGGGCACCGTAGGTGCAAACCAAGGACACCAGGATCCCCGGGGCCCTGCGCAGTGGCTGCTGGGAAGGCACTTTCATCCGTGGGGAGACCCAGGCCCTCTACTCTGCCTCACCATGTTTTTTGTTTCCACAGGTGTCTCTAAAACTGCTTTCAAGCCTTATCTTCTATTCTGGGCATCCTTGCCACAGTGCGGTGCACCCCATGGGCAAAACACACATCCTGGGTGTAAACCAGGATGCCTGGATCCCCGGGTCTTGCACAAGGCCTGGTGGGAAAGGAAGGCACTTTCGTCCGTGGGGGAACCCTGGTCCCCTTTCTCTGCTGCCCCATTTATTTTTGTTCAACTGGTGCCTCTACCTCCCCTTTCAAGCCTTATCTTCCCTTCTGTGCCTTCTTGCTGTATGGGGGTGCCCCCCTTGGGCGCGACAGGTACCGTTGGTGCAAACCAGGTATGCCAGGATTTCCGGAGCCCCGTGCAGGGGCTGCTGGGAAGGCACTTTCGTCCATGGGGGGAACCAGGCCCCCACCTCGGCCGCGCCATTTTTTCCTTCCACAGGTGGCTTTACCTCCCCTTTCAAGCTTTATCTTCATTTCTGGGACCTTCTGCCACATTGGGGTACACCCGTGGGCGCGACACACACCGTAGGTGTGAATCAGGGATGCCAGGATCACCAGGGACCTGCAAAGCGTATGCAGGGAAGGCACTTTCGTCTGTGGGGGGACCCAGGTCCCCCTCTTCTGTGGCATCAATTTTTTTTCCTTCAACAGGTGTCTCTACCTCCCCTTTCAAGCCTTATCTTCCCTTTGAGTCTTCGTGCAACTTTGGAGTGTCCCTGTGGGTGCAAAATGCACCGTGAACGTGTACCAGGGATGGAAGTAACCCTGGTGCCCTGTGCAGGGGTTGCTGGGAAGCCACTTTCGTCCGTGGGGTGACCCAGGCCCCCGTCCTCTGCCACGCCATTTTTTTTCCTTCCTCCGGTTCGTCTACCTCCACTTTCAAGACTTGTCTTCCTTTCTGGGCCTTTTTGCTGCTTTGGGGTGCCCCCCGTGGTCAGGACACGCACCGTGGGTGTGAACCAGGTATGCCAGTATCCCAGGGACCCGATGCAGGGGCTGCTGGGAAGGCACTTTCGTCCTTTGGGGGACCCAGGAACCCCTCGTCTAACGCGCCATTTTTTTCCTTCCAAAGGTGCGTCTACTTTCCCTTTTGAGCCTTGTCTTCCATTCTGGGGCTTCTTGCCGTAGTGCACTGCCCCCCATGGGCGCAACACGCACCCTGGGTGCGAATCAGGGAAGCCAGAATCCCCGGGACCCCGCAAAGGCGCTACTAGGAAGGCATTTTCATCCGTGGGGGAACCCAGGTCCACCGCCTCTGCCGCTCCATTTTCTTGCCTTCTACAGATGCTTCTACCTCCCTTTTCAAGCCTTATCTTACTTTCTGGGACCTCTTGCCATTTAGGTTGCCTCCCGCGGGCACGACACGCAACGTGTGTTTGAACCAGGGGTGCCGGGATTCCTGGAGCCCTGCCCAGTGGCTGCTGGGAAGGCCCTTTCTTCCTTGTGGGGACCCAGGCACCCCTCCCTTGCCATGCCATTTTTTTTCCTTCCACAGGTGCCTCTATCTCCCCTTTCGAGCCTTACCTTCCCTTATCGGCCTACTTGCCCCTTTGGGGTGCCCCCCATGGGCACGACACGTGAGGTGGGTGTGAAGCAGGGATACCAGTATCCCTGGGGCCCTGCGCAGGTGCTGCTGGGAAGGTGCTTTCGTCTTTGGGGGGACCCAGGCCACCCTTCTCTGCCATACCATATTTTTTTCCTTCCACAGGTGCCACTGCCTCCCATTTCAAGCCTTATCTTCCTTTCTGAGCCTTCTTGCCACATTAGGGTTCCCAGGTGGGTGCGCCACACACCCTGGGTGTGAACCAGGGACGCCAGTATCTCCTTTCAAGCCTTATCTTCCTTTCTGGGCCTTCTTTCCGCTCTGGGGTGCCCCTGTGGGCTCAACACACACCATGGGTGTGAACCTCATACTCCAGCATCCCAGGGACCCCGCGCAGGGGATGCTGGGAGGGCACTTTCGTCCGTTGGAGGACCCAGGCCACCCTACTCTGCCGTGCCATTTTTTGTCCTTCCACAGGGGCCTGTTTCTCCCATTTCAGGCCTTATCTTCTCTTCTGGGCTTTCTTGACATTTTGGCCTGCCCCATGCGGGCGCTACACGCACTATTGTTGCGAACCAAGGATGCCAGGATCCCCAGGACACAGCGCAGGGGCTGCTGGGAAGGCACATTCTTCTGTGGGGGGCGACCCAGGCCACCCTCCTCTACCGTGACATTTGTTTTTCCTTCCACAGGTGACTCTACCTCCTCTTTCAAGCCTTGTCTTCCTTTCTGGACCTTCGAGCTGCTTTGGGGTACCCCTGTGGACGCGACACTTGCCATGGGTGCAAAGCAGGGATGTGAGGTTCCCTGGGGAACTGCGCAGGGACTGCTGATAAGGCCCACCTCCTCTGCTGCACCGTTTTTTTCTTTCCACAGGTGCCTCTACGTCTCCTTTCAAGTCTTAACTTCAATTCTGGGCCTTCTTGCTGCTTTGAGGTGCCCCCAGTGGGCGCGACACGCATGTGGGTGTGAACCAGGGATGCCAGGATCCCCGAGGTCCCATGCTGGGTCTGTGGGAAGGCACTTTCGTCCGTGGGGGGACCCAGGCCCCCCTTCTCTGACGTGCCATTTTGTTTCTTTCAAAGGTGACTCTAACTCCCCTTTCAAGCCTCATCTTTCTTTCTTGGCCTTCTTGCAGCTTTGGCATTCCCCTGGTGGGAGTGAAATGCACCATTGGTGCGTTCCAGGGACGCCAAGATCCGTGGGGCCCAGCGCAGGGGCTGCTGGTAAGGCACTTTCGTCTGTGGGGGCACTCAGGTCCCCCTCCGCAGTTGCTCCGTTTTTTTTCCTTCCACAGGTGCCTCTACCTCCCCTTTCAAGCATTATCTTCCTTTCTGGGACTTCTTGTCGCTTTGAAGTGCCCCCCATGGGTGCGACATGCACCATGGGTGTGAACCTGGGACTCCAGGATCTCCAAGACTCCGCCCAGGGCCTGCTGGGAGGCACTTTCTTCTAGGTGGGGACCCAGGCTCCCCTCTTATGCCACGCCTTTTTTTTTCTTACCACAGGTGCCTCTACTTCCCCTTTAAAGCCTTATCTTGCCTTCTGGACCTTCTTGCTGCTTTGGGGTGCACCCCACGAGCACGACGCGCACCGTGGTTGTGAACCAGTGAAGCCAGGATACCCGGGGCCCTGCGTAGGGGCTGCTGGGAAGGCACTTTCGACCGTTGGGCGGGGGGGACCCAGGCCCGTCTTCTCTGCTGTGCTGTTTTTTCCCTTCTACAGGTGCATCTACCTCCCCTTTCAAGCCTTGTCTTCCCTTCTGGGCATTCTTGCCACTTTGGGGTGCCCCCCTTGCGTGTGACTCCCACCATGGGTGTGAACCAGTGACTCTAGGATTCCCACTTACCTGCATAGGGGCTGCTGGAAAGGCACTTTTTCCGTGTGGGGATCCAGGCCGCCCTTCTCTGCCATGCCATTTTTTTTTCCATCCACAGTTGCCTCTACCCCCCACCCCTTCATGCCATATCTTCCCTTCTGGGCCTTCTTGCCGCTTTGGGGTACACCTGTGGGTGCGACACGCATGGTGGGTGCAAACCAGGGACATCAGGATCCCCAGGGCCCCATGCAGTGGCTGCTGGGAAGGCACATTCGCCATGCAGGGACCCACGCCTCGTTCCTCTGCCAGACACCTCTCCTTTCAAGCATTATCTTCTTTTCTGGGCCTTCTTGATGATTTCGGGTGCCCCTGCGGGTGCAACATGCACTGTGGGTGTGAACCAGGGGATGCCTGGATGCCAGGGGGCCGTGCACAGGGGCTGCTGGGGAGGAACTTTCATCCTTGGGAGAACCCAGGACCCCATCTACTGCCATGCCGTTTCCTTTTCTTCTACAGATGTCTTTAGCTCTCCTTTCAAGCCTTATCTTCCATTCTTGCCCTTCTTGCCACTTTGGGGTGGCCCCCGTGGGGGCGACATGCACCGTGGTTGTGAAACAGGGATGCCAGGATCCCCGTGTCCCCACTATGGGGCTGCTGGAAAGGCACATTCATTTGTGGGGGAACCCAGGCACCTCTCCTCTGCCAATTTTTTCCTTCATAGGTGCGTATATCTCCCCTTTCAGGCTTTGTCTTCCCTTCTGGATCTTTCTGCCACATTTGGGTGCCTCCCGCGAGCGCAACACACACCGTGGGTGCGAATGAGGGATGCCAGTATCCCCGGAGCTCCACAAAGGGGCTGCTGGGAAGGCACTTTCGTCCGTGGGGGGACCCAAGAACCCCTCCTCTGCCGCGCCATTTTTTTTCCTTCCACACGTGCCTCTACCTCCACTTTCAAGGCTCATCTTCCATTCTGGGATTTCCTCCCCTTTGGGGGGTACCCCCGTGGGCATGACATGCACCGTGGGTGCGATCCAGGGATGCCAGGATCCCTGGGGCCCACCACAGGGGCTGTTGGGAAGGCACTTTCGTCTGTGGGGGGACCCGGGCCACCCTCCTCAGCTGCACCTTTGTTTTTCTTTCCACAGGTGTGTCTACCTCCCCTTTCAAGCCGTATC
The DNA here is from genome assembly GCF_000001405.40 of Homo sapiens. Classification (NCBI taxonomy): domain Eukaryota; kingdom Metazoa; phylum Chordata; class Mammalia; order Primates; family Hominidae; genus Homo; species Homo sapiens. Next base: position 34,329,249 of record NC_000012.12, read on the forward strand.
TTCGCTTCTGGCCATTCTTGCTGCTTTGTGGTGCCTTCCACATGGGCAACATGCAATGTGGGTGCCAAGTAGGGGCGCCAGGATCACCGCAGCCCCGCGCAGTGGCTGCTGGGAAGGAACTTCGTCCGTTGGGAAACCTGGGCACCCCTCCTCTGCCACGCCATTTTTTTTCCTTCCACAGGTGCCTCTACCACCCTTTCAAGCCTTATCTTCCCTTCCGGGCCTTCTTACCACTTTGAGGTGCCACCCATGGGCTTGAAACACACCTTGAGTGTGAACCAGGGATGCCAGGATCCCTGGAGCCCCACGCAGGGGCTGCTGGTAAGGCACTTTTGTCTGTGGGGGGACCCATGTCCTGTCCACTGCTGTGCTGTTTTATTTCCTTCCACAGGTGCCTCTACCTCCCCTTTCAAGACTTATCTTCCCTTCTGGGCCTCCTTGCCACATTGAGGTGCCCCTCGTGGGTGTGATATGCACCGAGGGTGCGAAAAAAGGGGCGTCAGGATCCCTGGGCCCACCTGCAGGGTCTGCTGGGATGGCACGTCCATCCTAGTGGGGACCCAGGCCCCCCTCCTCTGTCTTGTCATTTTTTTTTCCCTCCACAGATGTCTCTACCTCCACTTTGGAGCCTTATCTTCCCTTCTGGGCCTTCTTGCCACTTTGGTGGTGTGACACGCACCATGGGTGTGAACCAGGATGCCAGGATCCTTGAGGCTCCATGCAGGGTCTGCTGGGAAGGCACTGTCTTCCGCGGGGGTCCCAGACTTCCGTACTCTGCCATTCCATTTTTTTCCTTGCACAGGTGCCTTTACATCCCCTTTCAAGCCTTATGTTGCCTTCTTGGCCCTCTTGCCACTTAGGAGTGCCCTCTGTGGGTGCGAATGCACCATTGGTGTGAACCAGTGACAACAGGATCCCCAGAGCCCCACGCAGGGGCTGGTGGGAAGGCACTTTCGACCTTTGGGAGGAACCAGGCCCCCAACCTTGGCCGTGCCATTTATTTTCCTTCCTCAAGTGCTTCTACCTCCCCTTTCAAGCCTTATCTTCCCTTCTGGGCTTTCTTGCCACATTGGGTTGCCCCTGTGGTTGCAACTCGCACAGTGGGTGTGAACCAGGGACACCAGGATGCCCGGGGCCACTCACAGGGGATGCTGGGTAATCACTTTTGTAGGTGGGGAGACCCAGGACCCCTCCTCTGCCACGCTGTTATTTTTCCTTCTGCAGGTGACTCTACCTCCCCTTTCAAGCAGTGTCTTGCCATCTGGGCATTCTTGCTGCTTTGGGGTGACCCCCGTGGGAGTGACATGCACTGTGGGTGGGAACCTCTGATGCCAGTATCCCTGGGTCCCAGCGCAGGGGCTGCTGAGAAGGTACTTTCATTCATGGGGGGACCCATACCCCCCTCCTCTCCTGCGTCATTTTTTCTTTCCTTCTACAGGTTCCTCTACCTCCCCTTTCAAGACTTAATTTCCATTCTGGGCATTCTCGATGCTTTGGGGTACCTTCTGTGGGCGTGACATGCACTGTGGGTGTGAATCAGGGATGCCAGCATTGCCGGGTCTCCGCGCAGGGGCTGCTGGGAAGGCACTTCGTAAATGCGGGGAACCAGGCCCACTTCCTCTGCTGCGCAGTTTTTTTTTTCCTTCCACAGGTGCCTCTGCCTCCCCTTTCAAGCCTTATCTTCCTTTGTGGGCCTCCGTGCCTATTAGGGGTGCCCCCATGTGTGTGACAAGCACTATGGGTGTCAACAAGTGATGCCAAGATCCCCGGGGCCCCACGCAAGGTCTCCTGGAAGGCACCTTCATCTGCGGGTGGACCCAGGCCCCCCTCCTTTGCCTCGCCTTTTTTTTTTTTCCTCCCAAAGGTGCCTCTACCTCCCCTTTTAACCCTTATCTTCCCTTCTGGGCCCTATTTCCACACAGAGGTGCTCCACGCATGGGCGACACGCACCATGTTTGTGAACCAGAAATGCCAGGATCACTGGGGCCCTGTGCAGGGGCTGGGGGGAAGGCACTATCCTCTGTGGGTGGACCTAGACCCCCCTCCTTGGCCACACCATTTTTTTTCCTTCCACAGGTGCCTCTACCTCCCCTTTCAAGCCTTATCTTCCCTTCTGCGCCTTCCTGCCACTTTGGGCTGCCTCCCACTGGAGCGACACACACCATAGGTGCGAACCAGAGATGATAGGTTCCCCGGGGCCTCGCACAGAGGCGGCTGGGAAGGTACTTTCATCCGTGAGGTGACCCAAATCCCCCTCCTTGGCCACGCCATTTTTTTTTTCCTTCCACAGTTGACTCTACCTCCCCTTTCAAGACTTATCTTCCCTTCTGGGCCTTCTTGCCGCAATAGGTTGCCCCCCGCGATTGCAACTCGCTCCGTGGGTGTGAACCAGGGACACCAGGATGCCTGGGGCGCAACGCAGAGGCTTCTGGGAGGCACTTTCTTCTGTGGGGGGGGCCCAGGCACCCTCCTCTGCCGTACCACCCCAAAGGCTTGAAAGGGTAGGTCGAGGCACCTGTGGTGTGGCAGGTAAAAAGAAACCGCGCGGCAGAGGTCTACCCCTACAGGAGAAAGTGATTCAGCAGTGCACGTGCGCAGGGCCGAGGGGACCCTGGGCCTCCCGGGTTCACTGCCACAAAGCACCTTGGGCCCATGGGGTCCAGCCGAAGGCAGCAGGGAGGCTTGAAAGGGGATGTCGAGGCGCCTGTGGTGTGGCAGGAAAACAGAAATGGCACGGCAGAGGTCCCCACCCACGGGCAAAAGTGTCTCCCCTCCATGCAAGCACGGGGCCCAGGGGAACCTGGGTCTCCTAGTTTCGTGCCCACGGAGCACTTTGGGCCAGTGGTGGCCAGCCCAAGACGGCAGGGAGGCTTGAAAGGGGAGGTTGAGGCGACTGTGGTGTGTCAGGAAAATAGAAAAGGCGCAGCAGCAAAGGTCCCCTTGCCATAGGCAAAAGTGCCTCCCCACCGCTCATGCACAGAGCCTAGGGGACCCTGGGACTCCCAGGTTCACGCCCACGGAGTGCCTCGGGCTCGTCAGGGCCAGCCCAAAGCAGAAGGGACGCTTGAAAGGGGAGTTCGAAGCACCTGTGGTGTGACAGGAAAACAGAAATGGAGTGGCAGAAGTCCCCCCCCACATGAGCAAAATTGACTCCCCACAGCGCATGCACGAGGCCCAGTGGACCCTGGGTCTCCCAGATTGATGCCCACTGAGGGCCTCGGGCCCAAAGGGCAAGCCCAAGGCGGCAAGGAGGCTTGAAAGGGAAGTTCGAGGCACCTGTGGTATGACAGGAAAACAGAAATGACGCGGAAGAAGTCTCCCCCCGCTAGCGAAAATGCCTCCCGACCGCACATGCATGGTGCCCAGGGTACCCTGGACCTCACTGGTTCCTGGACACACAGTGCCTCGGGCCCACGGGGGCCAGCCCAAGGAGGCAGGGAGGCTTGAAAGGAAAGGTTGAGGCACGTGTGGTGTAGCAGGATAACAGAAACGGCATGGCAGAGGTCCCCCACCATGGGCAAAAGTGCCTCGCATGCGTGGTGTCCAGAGGACCCTGGGCCTCCCAGCTTTGTGCTGCAGAGTGCCTCAGGCCCATGGGGGCCAGCCTAATGTGACAGCGACACTTGAAAGGGGAGGTTGAGGCGATTGGGGTGTGACAGGAAAACAGAAATGGCGTGGCAGAATTCCCCACCCACGGACTAAAGTACATACCTACTGTGCATGTGTGGGGCCCCAGGGACCCTGAGTCTCCCAGGTTTGCCCCAACGGAAGGCCTCAGGCCCACGGGGACAAGCCCAAAGCGGCTGGATGGCTTGAAATGGGAGGTTGTGGCACCTGTGGTGTGGCAGGAAAACAGAAACAGTGCAAAAGAGGTCACCCACCAGGGGCAAAAGTGCCTCCCCTCTGCGCATGCACTGGGCCCAGGTGACTCTGGGCCTCTCAGGTTGGTTCCCATGGAGTTCCTCGGGCCCACGGGTCCAGCCCAAGGTGGCAGGGAGGATTGAAAGGGGAGATTGAGACACCTGTGGTGTGTCAGGTAAACAGAAATGGTGCGGCAGAGATCCCCGTCCTCAGGCAAAAGTCCCTCCACACTGTGCATGTGAGGGGCCCGGGGGACCCTGAGCCTCCCAGGTTCTCAACCACGGAGCGTCTCAGGTCCACGGGGTCCAGCCGAAGGCGGCATGGAGGCCTGAATGGGGTGGTCGAGGCGCCTGTGGTGTGGCAGGAAAAGAGAAACGGCACAGGAGAGGGCCCGCCCCACGGGCGGAATTGCCTCCCCACCGCGCATGCGCGCAGCCCAGGTGATCCTGAGCCTCTTAGGTTCGCACTTACAGAGCGCCTCAGGCCCACGGGAGCCAGCCTAAAGCAACAGGGCTGCTTGAAAGGGGAGGTCGAGGCGCCTGTGGTGTGGCAGGAAAACAGAAAAGGCACAGCAGAAGTCCCCACCCACGGGCGAAAGTGCCTCCCCACAGTTCATGCGTGGGGCAAAGGGAACCAAGAGCCTCCCAGGTTCACGCCCACGGAGGGCCTGGAGCCCACGGGGGCCAGCCCAAGGCAGCAGGGAGGTTGTAAAGGGGAGGTCGAGGCACCTCTGGTGTGACAGGAAAACAGAAAAGGTACAGCAGGGTTCCTCCCCATGATCGAAAGTGACTCCACACAGTGCATGCGTGGGGGCCAGAGGACCGTGGGTCTCCCAGGTTCATGTCCAAGGAGCGCCTCAGGCCAGCGGGGGGCCAGCCCAAAGGGGGCAGGGAGGCTTGAAATGGGAGGTTGAGGCGCCCGTGGTGTGGCAGGAAAACAGAAACGGCGTGGCAGAGGTCCTACCCTACAGGCAAAAGTGCCTGTCCACAGCGCATGCGCGGGGGCCAGGGGACCCTGGGCCTCCTAGGTTAGTGACCATGGAGCGCCTCGGGCCCAAGTGGGCCAAAAGGAAAAAAAATACCGGCACAGTAGAGCTGGGGTCTTGGCCCCTGGCCCCAACCACGCTGCCCCTGCCACGCATGCGTGGGGTCGTGAAGAACCTAGGGTCCCGGGTTTGCGCCGCCGGAGTGGCTGGGCCCCTCAGGGTGCCACCCAAAGTGGCATGGGGGCTTGAAAGGAGAGGATGAGGCACCGGTTTAAGGAAAAAAAACCGGTGCAGTAGAGCAGGGGTCTTGGCCCTTGGCCCCCACATGCCCTCCCTGTCGTGCATGCGCGGTGTCCCGGGTTCGAGCCGCTGGTGTGGCTGGACACCGCGGGGGGCCACCCAAAGAGACAGGGAGACTTGGGAGGTGGACACACCGGTGGAAGGAAAAAAAAACAGGCAAGGCAGAGCAGGGGTCTTGGCCCCTGCACCCCCCCCACGCCAACCCTGCCAAGCATGTGCAGGTTCCCAGGTTCATGCCACCGAGTGGCTGGGCCCTGGGGGGCACCGCACAAAGTGGCAGGGATGCTTGAAAGGGGAGGTCGAGGCAGAGCAGGGGTCTTGGCCCTGGCCCCCCCCCACCAGGCCCCACCTGCCGCGCATGCGCGGGGTCCCTGGTTCCCTGGGGTCCCGGGTTCACTCCCCCAGAGTGGCTGGGCCACGCACGGTGCAATCCAAAGTGGCAGGGAGGCTTGAAAGGGGAGGTCGAGGTAGGGGTGGAAGGAAAATTAACCAGTGTGGCAGAGTAGGGTTTTTGGCCCCATCCCCCACCAAGCCGTTCCTGCGGTGCATGCATTGGGTCCCGGGGACTCTGGGGTCCCCGGTTCGTGCCTTGGAGTGGCTGGGCCCTTGGGGCACTGCCCTAAGCAGCAGGAATGCTTTAAAGGGGAGGTCGAGGCACTGGTGGAAGGAAAAAAGCGGCGAGGCAGAGCAGAGGTCTTGGCACCTGGCCAACCCTACACACCCTGCCACGCATGTGTGGGGTCTGAGGGACCCTGGGGTCCTGGGTTCATGCCCGCGGAGCGACTGGACTCCGTGCGGGCCGCCAAAGGGGCAGGGAGGCTTGAAAGGAGAGGTCGAGGCACAGGTAGATGGAAAAAAAACCGGCGAGGCAGAGCAAGGGTCTTGGCCCCTCGCCACCCCCATGCCACCCCTTCCGCGAATGCATGGGGTCATGGGTACCCTGGGGTCCCGGGTTCGTGCCCCCGGAGCGTCTTGGCCCCGGGGGTCCCCGCCCAAAGCATCACGGAAGCTTGAAAGCGGAGGTCGAAGCACCGGTGAAAGGAAAAAAAAACTGCATAGCAAAGAAGAGGTCTTGGCCCCTGGTCAACACCACGCCCCACATGCCGTGCATTCGCGTGTTCCTGGGGACCCTGGGGTCCGGGGTTCGTGCCCCCGGAGCGGCTAGACCCTGCTGGGGGCCGCCCAAAGGGGCTGGGAGGCTTCAAAAGGGAGGTTGAGTCTACAGCGGAGGAAAAAATACAGGCGAGGCAGAGCAAGGGTCTTGGCCCCTGGCCACCCCCACGCCGCCCCTTCCGCGAATGTGTGGGGTCCGGGGAGTGGCTTGGCCCCTGGGGGCCCCGTCCAAAGCGGCACGGAGGCTTGAAAGGGGAGGTCGAGTCACCGGCGGAAGGAAAATAAACGGCGCAGCAGAGAAAGGGTCTTGGCCGCTGGTCAACACCACGCCCCACCTGCCACACATGCTTATGTTTCTGGGGACCCTGGGGTTCGGGACTTGTGCCCCGGAGTGGCTGGACCTCACAGGGGGCCGCCCAAATGGGCTGGGAGGCTTCAAAGGGGAGGTTGAGTCACCAGTGGAAGGAAAAAAGCCGGCGAGGCAGAGCACAGGTCTTGATCCCTGGCTCCCCCAAGCCCCCCCCGCCACGCATGCGCGGAGTCCTGGGTTCGCACCCCCGGAGCGGCTGAGCCCAGCGGGTTGCCGTCCAAAGCGGCAGTGAGGCTTGAAAAGAGAGATCGAAGCACCGGTGGAAGGAAATAAAAACGCCACTGTAGAGCAGTGGTCTTGGCCCCTGGCCCACACCAAGCCCCCCATGCTGCGCATGCGCGGGGTCTCCGGGACCCTGGGTCCCGTGTTCCCACTCCTGGAGTGGCTGGGCCCTGAGCGGTGACGCCCAAAGCGGAAGGGAAGCTTGAATGTGGAGGTCGAGGCACTGGTGGAAGGATGAAAAACCGGCACAATAGAGCAAATGTCTTGGCCTCTGGCCAATCCCACGCCCCCCTTTCCCCACATGCATGGGGTTCCGGGGACCCTGGGTCCCGGTTTCATGCCCACAGCGTGGCTGGACCCCGCGGGTGGCCTCTCAAAGAGGCAGGGAGGCTTGAACGGGGAGGTCGAGACACCGGTGGAAGGAAATAAACTGGTGAGGCAGAGCAGGTGTCTTGGCACCTGGTCACCCATCCCTCCTGCCACGCATGCGTGGGGTCCCGGGTTGACGCCCCCAGAGTGGCTGGGCCCTGCGGGGTGCCACCCAAAGCGGCAGGGAAGCTTGAAAGGGGAGGTCAAGGCACTGGTTTAAGGAAAAAAAATGGCGCGGTAGAGTAGGGTTCTAGGCCCCTGGCCACCCCCACGCCACACCTGCCGCGCATGCGTGGGGTCCCGGGGACCCTGGTCTCCCGAGTTCGCGTCCCCTCAGTAGCTGGGCCCCGGAAGGCGCCGCTAAAACCGGCGGGGAGAATTGAAAGGGGAGGTTGAGGCACACGTGGAAGGAAAAAATACCGGCGCGGCAGAGCAAGGGCCTTGGCCCCTGGCCAACCCCACACACCCCCTGCCGCGCATGCGCAGGGTCCGGGGTTCGCGCTGCCGGAGTTGCTGGACACCGCGGGGGGCGGCCCAAAGAGGCAGGGATCCTTGAAAGGGGAGGTCGAGGCACTGGGGTAAGGAAAAAAACGACGAGGCAGAGCAGAGGCCTTGGCCCCTGGCCCCCGCCACCCACAACATGCCACGCATGCGTGGCGTCCCAAAGACCCTGAGGTCCTGGGTTTGCGCTGCCGGAGCTGCTGGGCCCCGCGGGGTGCCGCCCAAACCGGCAGGGAGGCTTGAAAGAGGAGATCCAGGCACCGGTGGAATGAAAATAACTGGCTTGATAGAGCAGTCGTCTTGGCCCCTGGCCCCACCACGCCACACCTGCAGCACATGCACAGGGTCCCGCGTTCACACCCCCAGAGTGGCTGGGCCCTAGGAAGCCCCACCCAAAGAGACAGGGAGGCTTGAAATGGGAGTTCGAGGCACCGGTGGGAGGACAAAAAACTGGCGTGACAGAGCAGGGGTCTTGGCCCCTGGCCAACACCACGTCCCCCCGCCGTGCAAGTCCAGGGTCGTGGGGAACCTGGCGTCCTGGGTTCGCGCCCCCAGACCGGCAGGACCCTGCGTCGGGCCGCCTAAAGGGGCAGGGAGGCTTGAAAGGGGAGGTTGAAGTAAGGAGACGTGCAGGCACAGGTAGAAGGAAAGAAAAACTGTAGAGGCAGAGCAGGGATCTTGGCCCCTGGCCCCACCCCACGTCCCTCCAGCCACACATGAGCAGGGTTCCGGGACAGTGGGGTCCCAGGTTCGCGCCTCCAGAGCAGCTGGACCCCTCGGGGGGCCGCCCAAAGAGGCAGGGAGGCTTGAAAGAGGAGGTCAAGGCACTGATGGAAGGAAAAAAAACAAGTGAGGCAGAACAGAGATCTTGGCCCCTGGACCCCCAACGTGCCCCCTGCCGCATATCTTTGGGGTCCTGGGATCCTGGGGTCCAGGGTTCGCTCCCCCGGAGTGGGTGGCCCCACAGCGGGTGGACCCCGCAGCGGGCAGCACAAAGAGGCAGGGAGGCTTGAAAGGGGAGGTCGAGGCACCGGTGGAAGGAAAAAAACTGGCGAGGCACAGCAGGGTTCTTGGCCCCTGGCCCCACCCATGCACCCCTTGCCGCGCATTCGCGGGGTCCGGGGGACACTGGGTCCCGGGTTCGTGCTCCTGGTGAGGTTGGGCCCCTCGGGGTGCCGTCCAAAGCGGCAGGGAGTTTTGAAAGTGGAGATCGTGGTCCCCATGGAAAGAAAAAAAACGAAGCAGTAGAGCACGAGTCTTGGCCCCTGGTCCCCCGGACACCGCCCCTGCCGCATATGCACGGGGTCTCTGGGACTCTGGGGTCCCGGGTTCGTGCCCCCGGAGCTGCTGGACACATCGGGGGGCCGCCCAAAAACTCATTGAGGCCTGAAAGGGTAGGTCAAGGCAGCGGTGGAAGGAAAAAAAACCTGCGCAGCAGAGCAGGTGTCTTGGTCCCTGGCCAACGCCATGCCACCCCTGCTATGCATTTGCGGGATCCAGACACCCTGGGGTCCCGGGTTCGCGCCCCCAGAGCAGCTGGACCCAGCGGGGGCCGCCCAAAGAGGCAGGGAGACTTGAAAGGAGAGGTCCACACGCCGGTGGAAGGAAAAAAATAACCGACGAAGCAGAGCAGGGAGGCTTGAAAGGGGAGGTCAAGGCAACGGTGGAAGGAAAAAAAATGGTGAGGCAGAGCAGGGGTCTTGGAACCTAGCCCCCGCCCCGCCGTGTCTCACCATCCCCCATGCACGGTGTCCCGCATTCGCTCCCCCTGAGCAGCTGGGCCATGCAGGGTGCTGCCCAAAGTGGCAGGGAGGCTTGAAAGGGGAGGTCGAGGCAGCAGTGGAAAGAAAAAATATCCGCCATGGTAGAGCAACGGTCTTGGCCCCTTCCCCGCAGCCCCCACGCCATCCCTGCCGCGCATGTACGGGGTCCTGGGGACACTGGGGTACCGGGTTCGTGCCCCCGGAGCAGCTGGACCGCGTGGCGGGTGGCCCAAAGAGGCTGGGAGCTGTTGGCATGCTAGGGCTCCTGGGGACATGGGGATCTGGGGTTCGCGCCCCCGGAGCTGCTGGGCCCCACAGGGTGCCGTCTAAAGCGGCAGGGAGGCTTGAAATGGGAGGTCGAGGCACTGGGGTAAGGAAAAAAACCGAGGAGGCAGAGCAGAGATCTTGGCCCCTGGCGAAGCCCACACGCACTCTGCAGTGCATTCGCGCTGTTCTAGGGAACCTGGGGTCCTGGGTTCACGCCTGGGAGCGGCTGAGCCCTAGGGGGAGCTGCCCAAAGTGGCAGGGAGGCCCAAAATGGGAGGTCGAGGCAAGGGTGGAAGGAAAAACAACCTGCGCAGCAGGGCAGGGGTCTTGGCCCCTGGTCCACACCACGCTCCCCCTGCCGCTCATGCACGGGGTCCAGGGGACCCTGGGGTGCCGGGTTCGTGCCCCCAGAGTGGCTGGACCCCACGGCGGGCTCCCCAAAGAGGCAGGGAGGCTTGAAATGGGAGGTCGAGCCACCGGTGGAAGGAAAAAATACCGGCGAGGCAGAGCAGGGTTCTTGGCCCCTGGCCAACCACACACACTCCCTGCTTCGCATGCATGGGGTCCCAGGGACCCTGAGGTCCTGGGTTCACGCCCCCAGAGCGGCTCGACCCAGCGGCGGGCTGCCCCAATAGGCAGGGAGGCTTGAAAAGTGAGGTCGAAGAAAGGGGATGTTGAGGCACCGGTGGAAAAAAAAAAAACTGGCGAGGCTGAGCAGGGGTCTTGGCTTCTAGCCCCACCCATGTCTCCCTGCTGTGCATGCACTGGGTCCCGGGTTTGCACCCACGGAGTGGCTGGGCCCCGCGGGGTGCCGCCCAAAGCAGCAGGGACACTTGAAAGGAGAGGTCGAGGCACCAGTGGAAGGAAAAAAACCGGCCAGGCACAGCAGGGTTCTCGGACCCTGGCCCCCCCTACGCCCACCCTGCCGTGCACTGCGCGGGGTCCTGGGGACCCTGGAATGCCCGGTTCGCGCGACCGGAGCGGCTGGACATGGTGGGGGGGCCGCCCAAAGGTGCAGGGAGGCTTGAAAGAGGACGTAGAGGCACCGGTGGAACGCAAAAAAACGGGCGAGGCCAAGGCCAAGTCAAAGTCCAAGTTCAAGGCCAGTTCCAAGTCCAAGTTTAAGTTCAAGTTCAAGGCCAAGTTTAAGGCCAGGGATCCCACGTTCACACTCTGGGAGTGCTGGAACCCGCAGGGGGCCTTTCAACGAGACAGGGTGGTTTGAAAGGGGAGATCGAGGCACCAGTGGAAGGAACATAACCGGCGAGGCATAGCAGGGGTCTTGGCCCCTGGCCCCGCCAACGCCGCTCCTGCGGCGCATGTGCGGGGTTACGGGGACTCTTGGTTCCTGGGTTTGCGCCCCCAGAGTGACTGGACCCCGCAGGTTGCTGCCCAAAGAGGCACGGAGGCTTGAAAGGGGAGGTCGAGGCGCCGGTGGAAGGAAAAAAACTGGCGAGGCAGAGCAGGGGTCTTGGCCCCTGCTCCCCGCCACGCACCCCCTCCCATGCATGCGCGGGGTCCTTGAGACCCTGGTGTCCTAGCTTCATAGCCCTGGAGCAGCTGGAACCCGCGGGGTGCCTCTCAAAGCGACAGGGAGGCTTGAAAGGGGATGTCGAGGCACCAAAGGAAAAAAAAAACGGAGAGGCAGAGCAGGGTTCTTGGCCGCATGCACCACCACGCCCACCCTACTGTGCATGCACGGGTTCCTGGGGACCCTGGGGTCCTGGGTTCACGCCCCCGGAGCGGCTGGACCCTGCGGGGTGCCGCTCAAAGCAGCAGAGAGACGTGAAAGGGGAGGTGAAAGAATCAATGGAAGGAATAAAAACCGGTGAGGCAGAGCAGGGCACTTGGCCTCTTGCACACCCATGCCCACTGTGCTGTGCATGGGCGGGATCCCGCGTTCATGACCCCAGAGCGGCTGGGCCCCGCAGGGTGCCTTTCAAAGCGGCAGGGAGGCTTGAAAGTGAAGGTCGAGGCACCAGTGGAAGGAAAAAACACTGGCGAGGCAGAGCAAGGTTATTGGCCCCTGGCCCCCCTCACGCACACCCTGCCACGCATGCGCGGGGTCCCAGAGACCCTGGGGTCCCAGCTTCACGCCCTGGAGCAGCTGGACCCTGCGGGGTGCTGCTCAAAGCGGCAGGGAGGCTTGAAAGTGGAGGTCGAGGCACCGGTGGAAGGAAAAAAATCCGGCGCGGTAGAGCACGGTTCTTGGTCCCTGGCACCCCCATGCACACCCCTGCCGCTCATGCGCGGCGTCCGGAGTTCGTGCCCCCGGAGCGGCTGGGCCCCGCGGGGTGCCGCCCAAAGCGGCAGGGAGGATTGAAAGGGGAGGATGAGGCACTGGGGGAAGGAAAAAAAACGGCTGCTTTAGAGCAGGGGTCTTGGCACATGGCCCACCCCATGACGCCCCTGCCACGCATGCGCGGGGTCCCAGGGACCGGGGAGTCCCGGGTTCACGCCCCTGGAGTGGCTGGAACCCGCGGGGGCCCGCCCAAAGAGTCAGGGAGGCTTGAAAGGGGAGGTCAATGCCCCAGTGGAAGAAAAAAAAAACGGCGAGGCAGAGCAGGGTTCTTGGCCCCTGTCCCCACCAACGCTCACCCTGCCGCACATGCGTGGGGTACTGGGGATGCTGGGGTCCCGGGTTCACGCCCCCGGAGCAGCTGGGCCCCGCGGGGTGCTGCTCAAAGCAGCAAGGAGGCTTGAAATGGGAGGTCGATGCACCTGTGGAAGGAAAAAAAACGGGCAAGGCTGAGCAGGGTTCTTGGCCCCCGGTACCCCCCCCCCCATGCCACCACTGCCACGCATGTACGATGTCCAGGGTTCGTGCCCCGGAGCAGCTGGACCAGACGGGGGACTGCCCAAATAGTCAGGCAGGCTTGAAAAATGAGATCGAGGCACCAGTGGAAGGAAAAAACACCGGCGAGGCAGAGCAGAGGTATTGGCCCCTGTCCAAAACCACGCACCCCATTCGGTGCATACACGGGGTCCCGGGTTTGCACTCCCCGAGCGGCTGGACACTGCGGGGGGCTGCCCAAAGAGGCAGGGAGACTTGAAATGGGAGGTCGAATCACCGGTGAAAGGAAAAAAAAGCCGCGGTAGAGCAGGGGTCTTGGCCCATGGCCCATATCACGCCATCCCTGCCATGCATGTGCGGGGTCCCGGACACCCTGAGGTCCCAGATTCGCGACCCCGGAGTGGCCTGACCCCGCGGGGGGCCGCACATAGAGGCAGAGAGGCTTGAAAGGGGAGGTCGAGGAACCGGTGAAAGGAAAAATTCTGGCGCCTCAGAGCGGGGGTCTTGGCTCATGGCCCCACCCACACCGCCCCTGCTGCACATGCGCAGGATCCCGGGGACCCTGGGCTCCCAGGTTTGCACCGCCGGCGTGGCTAGATCCCTTGCGGGGCAGCCCAAACAGGCAGGGAGGCTTGAAAGTTGAGGTCGAGGACCCGGTGGAAGGAAAATAAACTGGCGAGGCAGAGCAGGGGTCTTAGCCGCTGGCCTTCCCCACGCCCCCGCTGCCATGCATGTGCGGGGTCCTAGGGACCCTGAGGTCTCGGGTTCACCCCCCCGGAGCGGCTGCACCCCACAAGGAGCCGCCCAAAGAGGCAGGGAGTCTTGAAAGGGGAGATCGAGGCACCCGTGGAAGGAAAAAGAACTGCCGAGGGAGAGCAGGGGTCTTGGCCCCTGGCCTCCCCCATGCCACCCCTGCTGCTCATGTGCGGGGTCCTGGGGACCCTGGGGTTCGGGGTCCATGCCTCCGGAGTGGCTGGGCCCTGCGCGGTGCCGCCCAAAGCGGCAGGGATGCTTGAAAGGGGAGGTCGAGGCACCGGTGGAAGGAAAAAAAAACCGCCGTGGTAGAGCACGGTTCTTGGACCCTGCAACCCCCATGCCGCCCCTGCCGCGCAAGCGCGGGGTCCAGGGATTCTGAGGTCGCGGGTTCGCGCCCCTGGAGGGACTGGACCCAGCAGGGTGCCGCCCAAAGAGGCAGGGAGGCTTGAAATGGGAGGTTGAGTCACCGGTGGAAGGAAATAAAACCGGCGAGGCAGAGCAGGGGTCATGACCCCTGGCCCCCCACACGCACACCCTGCCGCACATGCGCGGTGTCCCAGGGACCCTGGGGTCCCCCGTTCACGCCCCGGAGGGGGTGGTCCCCCCGCGGGATGCCGGCCAAAGCGGCAGGGAGGCTTGAAAGGCCAGGGGTCCCGGGTTCGCACCCCACAAGGAGCCGCCCAAAGAGTCAGGGAGTCTTGAAAGGGGAGGTCGAGGCACCCGTGGAAGGAAAAAAAACTGGCGAGGCAGAGCAGGGGTCTTGGCCCCTGACCCCTCCCCCCGCCTCCCCTGCCGCGCATGCGCAGGGTCCCAGGACTGTGGGGTTCTGGGTTCGCTCCACCAGAGCAGCTGGACCTCGTGGGGTGCTGCCCAAAAAGGCAGGGAGGCTTGAAAGGGGAGATGGAGGCACCGGTGGAAGGAAGAAAACCTGACGATGTAGAGCAGGGGTCTTGGCCCCGGGCCTTCCTCGTGCCACCCCTGCCGCGCATGCGCGTGGTCCAGGGGACCCTGCCGCCAAAGAAGCAGGGAGTCTTGAAAGGCCAGGGGTCCCGGGTTGGCGCCTCAGGACTGGCTGTACCCCGCGTAGGGCCGCCCAAAGAGGCAGGGAGGCTTGAAAGGGTAGGTCGAGGAACTGGTGGAAGGAATAAAAACTGGCGAGGCAGAGCAGGGGTCTTCGCCCCTGGCCTTCCCCCGCAAGCCCCACCTGCCACGCATGCACGGGGGCCCGGGGACACTTGCGTCCCAGATTCACTCCCCCAGAGCAGCTGAACACAGCAGGGGGCCGCCCAACGAGGCAGGCAGGCTTGAAATGGGAGGTCGAGGCACTGGTGGAAGGAAAAAAACCCAGCGAGGCAGAGCAGGGTTCGGGCCCCTGGCTCCCCCCGCCGCGCATGCGCGGGTCCCGGGAACACCAGGGTTCCTGATTCGTGTCCATGGAGCGGCTGGGCCCCTGGCCCACCCCTGCGGCTCATGCATCGGTCCCGGGGGATCCCACTTGGGGCCAGGGCCCTGACCCCTGCTCTGCAGCGCCGGGTTTTTTTTTTACTTCCACCATTGTCTCGGCCTCCCCTTTCAAGCCTCCCTGCGGCCTTGGGCGGCCCCCAGCGGGACCCAGCAGCTCCGGGGGCTCGAACCTGGGACCCCGGGGTGCCCAGGACTCGTGCATCTACAGCAGGGATGGACTAGGGACCCCGACCCTGCTCTGCCGCGCCGGGTTTTTTTTCCTTCCACCTGTACCTCGGCTTCCCTTTCAAGCCTCTCTGCCACCTTGGGCTGCCCCCCGCGGGCCCAGCCACTCCGGGGGTGGGAACCCGGGACCCTAGGGTCCCCGGGGCTTCACGCATGCGTGGCAAGAGGCAGCCAGGGGCCCTGAACCCTGCTCTGCAGCGCCGAGTTGTTCTTCCTTCCACCAGTGCCTCGGCCACCCCTTCCAGGCCTCCCTGCCGCTTTGGGAGGCCCCCCGCGGGGCCCAGCAGCTCCGAGGGCATAAACCCAGGACCACGGGGTCGCTGGGACCTTGCTCATGTGTGGCAGCGTGGGGCCAGGGGCCCCGAACCCTGCTCTGCTGCGCTGGGTTGTTCTTTCCACCAGTGTGTCGGTCCCTCGGCCTCCCCATTCAAGCCTCCCTGCAACCTTCGGCGGTCCCTCATGGGGCCCAGCAGCTCCGGAGGCACGAACCCGGGACCCCAGGGTCCCCGGGACCTCGCGCATGCACGGCAGGGTGTGGCCAGGTTCCGCGACCCCTGCCCTGCTGTGCCGGGTTTTTTTTCTTTCCACCGGTGACTCTGCCTCCCCGTTCTAGCTCCCCTGCTGATTTGGGCGGCACCACGTGGGGCCCAGCAGCTCCAGGAGCGTGAAACCAGGACCCCGGGGTCCCCGGGAACAGCGCATGCACGGCAGGGTGGGGCCAGGGGCCCGGACCCCTGCTCTTCCACGCCGGGTTTCTTTTCCTTCCACCTGTAGCTTGGCCTCCCCTTTCAAGACTCCCTGCCGCCTTGGGGCGTACCACGAGGAGCCCAGCAGCTCCGGCGGCGGGAACCCGGGATCCCGGGGTGTTTGGGATCCTGTGCATGTGTGGCAGAGGGGAGCCAGGGGTCCTGAACCCTGCTCTGCCTCGCCGGAATTTTTCCTTCCACCTGTGCCTTGGCCTCCGCTTTCAAGACTCCCTGCCGCCTTTGGCGGCACCCTGCTGGTCCCAGCCACTCTTGGGGCGTGAACCCAGTTCCCCAAAGTCCCCGGGATCCCGCGTATGCGCGGCAGGGTGGGGCCAGGGGCCCAGACCCCTGCTCTGCCGCACTGGGTTGTTCCTCCTTCCACCAGTGCCTTGGCCTCCCCTTTCAAGCCTCCCTGCTGCCTTGGACGGCCCCAGGCGAGGCCCAGCAGCTCCCGGAGCACGAACCTGGGACCCCTCTCATGCCCAGCAGGGAGCAGCCAGTTGCCCAGACCCTTGCACTGCCGCGCCGGGTATTTTTTCCTTACACTGGTGCCTAGGCCGCCCCTTTCAAGACTCCCTGCCGCCTTGTGCAGCCCCCGGGGCGCCCAACCGCCCCAGGGGAGCGAACTCAAGACCCCAGTTTCCCAGGCAACCCACGCATGCGTGGCAGGGGGCAGCCAGAGGCCCCGAAACCTGCTCTGCCACACCAGGTTGTTTTTCCTTCCACCAGTGCCTTGGCGACCCCTATCAGGCGTCCCTGTCTCTTTGGGCGGCCCCCTGCGGGGCCGAGCCGCTCTGGGGGCACGAACCCGGGACCCCAACTTCCCTGAGACCCCACGCAAGTGCGGCAGGGGCGGGCGTGGAGGGGGTCAGGGGCCAAGAAAACTGCTCTACTGGGCCGGTTTGTTTTCCATCCACCGGAGACTCGACCTCCCCTTTCAAGCCTCCCTGCCGCTTTGGGCGGCAACCCGCGGGGCCCAGCAGCTCCGGGGGCGCTATCCAGGGACTCCAGGGTACCCGGGACCCCGCGCATGCGCGGTAGGGGCGGCGAGGGGTGGCCAGGAGCAGGTTTTTCTTCCTTCCACCGGTGGCTCAACCTCCCCTTTCAAGCCTCTGTGCTGCTTTTGACTGCACCCCGCGGGGCCCTGCCAATCCGGTGGCGCGAACCTGGGGTCCCCAGTACACGCGCATGTACGTCAGGGTCGGCGTGAGCAGGGCCAGGGGCCAAGACCCCTGCTCTACCACGCCGTTTTTTTTTCCTTTAACCGGTGCCTCGACATCCCTTTCAAGCCTCCCTGCAGCTTTGGGCGGCACCCTGCATGGCCCAGCCTCTCCGGGGGCATGAACCCTGGACCCCAGGGTCCCCAGGAAACCACGCATATGCGGCAGGGAGGGCGTGGGGGGGTCCAAGGACCAAGACCCCTGCTCTGCCTCGCCAGTTAATTTTCCTTCCACCGGTGCCTCGACCTCCCATTTCAAGCCTCCCTGCCTCTTTAGGCGGCACCTTGCGGGGTCCAGCCTCTACGGGGGCGAAAATCCGGGACCCCAGGTTTCGCTGGACCCCACGTATGCGCTACAGAGGGGGCGTGGGTGGGGCCAGTCGCCAAGACCCCTGCTCTGCCTCGCCGATTTTTTTCCTTCCACCTGTGCCTGGACCTCCCTTTTGAAGCCTCCCTGACGCTTTGGGCGGACCCCGCGGTCTCCAGCCTGTCCGGGGGTGCGAATGCGGGACCCCTGTGTCCCAGGGACCCCGCGCATGCGTGGAAGCGATGGCGTGGTGGCCATGGGCGAAGACCTCTGCTCTACCGTGGCCGTTTTTTTTTCCTTCTTATCAGTGCCTCACCCTCCACTTTCAAGCCTCCCTGCCTCTTTGGGCAGTCCCCTGCTGGGTCCAGCCGCTCCGGGGTCGTGAACCCTGGACCCCAGGGTCTCAGAGACCTTGCGCATGCGCGGCAGATTGGGCGTGGGGTGGGGTCAGGGGCCAATATCCCTGCCCTGCATCTCTTTTTTTTTTCCTTCCACTGGTGCCTCGATCTCCACTTTCAAGCCTCCTTGTCACTTTGGGTGGCAAACCCGGGGCCCAGCCTCTCCGGGAGCACGAACCCAGGACCCCAGGGTCTCCGAAACCCCACGCATGTGTGGTAGGGTGGGTGTTGGGAGGTGCCAGGGGCCAAGACCCCTGCTCTGTCTTGCCGGTTTTTTTTTCCTTCCAATGATGCCTCGACCTCCCCTTTCAAGCCTCCCTGCCTCTTTGGGCTGCCCCCTGGGGGGTCCAGCCCCTCCTTGGGCGAGAACCCGAGAATTAACGGCCTCCGGGACCCCGCGCATACGTGGCAGGGGGCGCGTGGGGGGACCAGGGTCCAAGATCCCTCCTCTGCCTTGCCAGTTTTTTTCCTTCCACCGCTGTCTTGACTTTTCTTTGCCTGGACCTTTCATTTCAAGCCTCTTACCTGCTTTGGGCGGCGTGCTGCAGAGACCAACCACTCCAGGGGTGCAGACCCGGAATCCCGCGCATGGGCAGCAGGGGGCGCGTGGGATTGGCCAGGGGCCACGACCCCTGCTCTGCCGCTCTGGTTTTTTTTTCCTTCCACTGGGGCTTTGACCTCCCCTTTCAAGCCTCCCTGCTTCTTTTCGCGGCTCCCCGCAATGTCCAACCACTCCGGGGGCGCGAACCCAGCACCCAAGAGTCCTGGGGACCTCACGCATGCGCGGCAGGGGCGGCGTGTGGGGGGTCATGGGCCAAGACTCCTGCTCTACAGCGGCGAATTTTTTCCTTCCCCCAGGGCCTCGACCTCCCCTTTCAAGACCCCCTGGTTCTTTGGGCGTCGTCCCGCGGGGTCGAGCCGCTCTGGGAGCGCGAACCCTGGACCCCAGGCATGCGCAGCAAGGGGGCGCGTGAAGGGGGCCAGGGCCAAGACCCTGCTTTGCCTTGCCGGTTTTTTTTCCTTCCACCAGTGCCTCGACCTCCCCTTTCAAGTCTCCCTGCCTCTTTGGGAGGCCCCCCGCGAGGTCCACCCGCTCCAGGGGCCCAAACCCAGGATCACAGGGTCCCCGGGACACCGTGCATGCGTGGCAGTGGTGGCGTGCGTGGGTGGGGGTCCATGGGCCAAGACCCTTGCTCAACCGTGGCGTTTTTTATCCTTTCTCCAGTGCCTCGACCTCCCTTTTCAAGCATCCCTGCCTCTTTGGGCAGTCCCCCGCAGTGTCCAGCTGATATGGGGCCTCGAACCCGGGACCTCAGCGTCCCCAGGAAACCGCGCATACCCAGCAGTGGAGGCGTGCGTTGGCCAGGGGTCAAGAACCCTGCTCTTCCGCGCTGTTTTTTTTTTTTCCTTCCACCGGTGCCTTGACCTCCCATTTCAAGCCTCCCTCCGCTTTGGGCGGCACCCCCCGGGGCCCAGCCGCTCTGGGGGCACTCATCCGGGAGCCCAGGATCCCCAGTACCCCAAGGATATGCGGCAGGGGGGACGTGGGGAGTCCAGGGGCCAAGACCTCTGCTCTGCCTTGCCAGTTATTTTTCCTTCCATCGGTGCCTCGACCTCCCATTTCAAGCCTCCCTGCCTCTTTGGGCAGTCCCCCGAAGGGTCCAGCCGCTCCGGGGGCGCGAATCTGGGATCCCAGGGTTCACAGGACAAAGCTTATGCATGGCAGAGGGGGCGTGGGTGGAGCCAGGAGCCAAGACCCCTGCTCTGCCCCGCCGGTTTTTTTCTTCCACCGGTGCCTCGACCTCCACTTTCAAACCTCCCTGCCCCTTTGGGCGGCCCCCCAAGGGGTCCAGCCGCTCCGGGGGTGCAAACCGGGGACCCCTAGGTCCCCGGGACCCCGCGCATGCACGGCAGTAGAGGTGTGGGGTTGGCCAGGCGTCAAGAACCCTGTTCCGCCGCGCCAGTATTTTTTTCTCCACCGGTGCCTCGACCTCCCCTTTCAAGCCTCCCTGCTTTTTGGCGGCGGCCCGCGGGGTAGAGCTGCTCCAGGCGCGCGAAACCGGGACCCCAGGGTCCCCGCTACCCCGTGCATGCGCAGCAGGGGTGGGGTGGGCGGGGCCATGGGCTAAGAACCCTGCTCTACTGTGGCGGTTGTTTTTCCTTGCACTGGTGCCTCTACCTCCACTTTCAAGCCTCCCTGCCTCTTTGGGCGGCCCCCAGCGGGGTCCAGCTGCTTTGCACGTGCAAACCCGGGACCCCAGGGTACCTGGGACACCGCGCATGTGCGGCAGGGGGTGCGTGGGGTTTGCCAGGGGCCAAGGGCCCTGGTCTGCTGTGCCGTTTTTTTTCCTTCCACCGGTGCCTCGACCTCCATTTTCAAGCATCCCTGTCCCTTTGGGCGGCGACCCACGGGGCCCAGCCGCTCCGGTGGTGCGAACCAGGGATAACATGGTCCCCGGCACCCCAGGCATACGTGGCAGGGTGGGTGTGGAGGGGACAAGGGGCCAAGACCCCTGCTCTGCCTCGCCGTTTTTTTTTTTTTTTCCTTCCACTAGTGATTCAACTTCCCTTTTCAAGCCTCCCTGCCTCTTTGGGCGGCCCCCTGCATGGTCCAACCGCTCTGGGGCGCAAATCCAGTACCCCAGTGTCCCCAGGACCCTGCGCATGTGCAGCAGGGGGAGGGTACGGGCGCCAGGGGCCAAGACCATTGCTCTGCCTCGCTGGGTTTTTTTCCTTCCACCGGTGCCTCGACCTCCCGTTTCAAGCCTCCCTGCCTATTTGGCCTAACCCACGCGGGGTCCAGCCTCTCCGGGGGTGTGAACCCCGGACCTCAGGGTCCTCAGGACCCAGTGCATGCGCAGCAGGTGGGACTTGGGGTTGGCCGGGGGCCAAGAGCCCCACTTTGCGGTACCGGTTTTTTCCTTCCACCAGTGTTTCGGCCTCCCCGTTCAAGCCTCCCTGCGGCTGTGGGCGGCTACCCCAGGGGACCAGCTGCTCCGAGGGCGCGAGCCTAGGACCCTGCTTATGCACGGCAGGGGTGGTGTGGGGGTGACCAGGGTCCAAGACCCCTGCTCTATCGCGCCGATTTTTTTTCCTTCCACAGGTGCCTCTACCTCTCTTTCAAGCCTTCCTGCCACTTTGGGCGGCACCCCGCGGGCCTTGTCGCTCCAGGGACTCGATCCCGGTACCCTAGGGTCCCCGGGACCCCCTGCATGCGCAGAAGGGGCGGTGTGGTGGGAGCCAGGGGCCAAGACTCCCGCTCTGCCTCGCCAGTTTTTTTTCCTTCCACCGGTGCCTCAATCACCCCTTTCAAGACACCCTGCCTATTCGGGCGGCTCCTGAGGGGTCCAGCCACTCCGGGGGCAAGAGCCCTCCACCACAGGGTCCCTGGAACCCAAAGCATGCAAGGCAGGGGCGGCGTAGGGAGGCCCGGGGACCAAGACCCCTCCTCTACCGCGGCAGGTTTTTTTCTACCACCTGTGCCTTGACCTCCCCTTTCAGGCCTCCCTGACGCTTTGGGCGGCCGCAGACGGGGCGCGCACTCGAGACCCCAGGTTCCCCGGGACACCGCGCATGTGCGGCAGAGTGAGGGTGGGGTTGGCCAGGGGCCAAGATATCTGCTCTGCCATGCCGGTTTTTTTATCATTCCAGGAGTGCCTCGACCTCCCCTTTCAAGCCTCCCTGCCGCTTTGAGCGGCACCCTGCGGGGCCCAGCGGCTCCGGGGGCCATAACGGGTGCCTGCGCATGCGCGGCAGGTGGGTCACGGTGCGGGGCAGAAGCCAAGAACCCTGCTCTACCTCGCCAGTTTTGTTTCCTTCCACGGGTGCCTCAACTTCCCCTTTCAATCCTCCCTGCCTCTTTGGCTACCCCACCCAGGGTCCAGCCCCTCCGGGATCGTGAACCCGGTACTCCAAGGTCCCTGGGACCCGCGCATGTGCGGCAGGGGGAGCGAGGGGTTGGCCAGGGGCCAAGAAACCTGCTCTGCCGCGCTGTTTTTCTTTCCTTCCACAGGTGCCTTGACCTCCACTTTCACGACTCCCTGCTGCTTTGGACGGAACTCCGCGGAGCACAGCCGCTCCAGGGGCGCAAGCCTGGGACCCCAGGTTCCCTGGGACTCCACGCATGTGTGGCAGGAGGGGCGTTGGGGGGCGGCAGGGGCCAAGACCCCTGCTCTGCTTTGCCTTTTTTTCCTTCCACCGGTGCCTCAACCTCCCCTCTCAAGACTCCCTGCGTCTTCGCCGCCCCTCGCGAGGTCCAGCCACTCTGGTGGTGCGAACCTGGGACCCCAGGGTCCCTGAGACCCCAAGCTTGGGTGTCAGGGGGAGCGTGGGGAGGGCAAGGGGCCAAGACCCCTGCTCTGCCCCACCAGTTTTTTTTCTTCCACCGGTGCCTCGAAATCCCATTTCAATCCCCGCGCATGCACAGCAGGGGTGGCTTGGTGCCGAGGAAGGGGCCAAGAACCCTGCTCTACTGTGGCGGTTTTTTCTCCTTCCACTGGTGCCACGACCTCCAGTTTCAAGCCTCCCTGCCACTCTGTGCGGCATCCCGCAGTGCCCAGCCACTGCAGGGGCACGAACCTGGGACCTCAGGGTACCCGGGACCCCGCACCTGCAAGGCAGGGTGTCGTGGTGGTCCAGGAGCCAAGACCCCTGCTCTGTCTCACTGGTATTTTTTCCTTCCACCGGTGCCTCGACCTCCACTTTCAAGCCTCCCTGCCTCTTTGGGCGGCCCCTCCACGGGGTCCAGACGCTCCGGGGTCGTGAACCCGGTACCCCAGGGTCCCCGGGAACCAGCACATGTGGGACAGGAAAGCGTGGGGCGGGCCAGGGGCCAAGACCCCTGCTCTGCCTTGCCAGTTTTTTTCCTTCCATTGGTGCCTTGACCTCCCCTTTCAAGCCCTGCGCATGCGTGGAAGGGATGGCGTGGGGTGGGGGAGGGGGCAGGGGCCAAGACCCCTGCTCTGCCTCTCCAGGTATTTTCATTCCACCGGTGCCTCGACATCCTTTTTCAAGACTACCAGCCTCTTTGCCCCCCGTGGGGCCCAGTCACTCCGGGGGCACAAACCTGGGACCCCAGGGTTCCCAGGACTGGACGCATGCACGGCAGGGTGGGTGTAGAGTTGGCCACGGGCAAGACCCCAGCTCTGCAACACTGGTATTTTTTCCTTCCATTGGTGCATCGACCTCCCCTTTCACGTTTCCCTGCCCCTTTGCGTGGCGCCCCCACGGGGCCCAGGCACTCTGGGGGCGTGAAATCGGGAGCCCAGGTTCCCTGGGACCCCGCACATGCGCGGCAGCGGGGGCGTGGTTGGGGCCAGGGGGAAAGACCCTTGCTCTACAGCGGAGGTTTTTTTTCCCTCCACAGGTGCCTCGACCTGCCCTTTCAAGCCTCGCTGCTGTTTTACGCTGGCCCTTTGGGCCCGAGGCGCTCCGTGGGTGCAAACCTGGGAGGCCAAGTGTCCCCCGGGTCCTGTGCATGCAAGGCACTTTCGCCCTTGGTAGGGGACCTTTGCTGCGCCTTTTCTGTTTTCCTGCCACACCACAGGCGCCTCGACCTCCCCTTTCAAGCCTCCCTGTTGCCTTGGGCTGGCTCCCATGGGCCCGAGGTGCTCCATGGCCGCGAACCTGGGAGGCACAGGGTACCCTGGACCCCACGCATTCGCAGTGGGGAAGCACTTATGCGCATTTGGTGGAGGTACATCTGCCGCGCCGATTCTTTTTTCCTGCCACACCACAGGCGTCTCGACCTCCCTTTTCAAGCCTCCCTGCCACCTTGGGCTGGACCCCGTGCGCTCGAGG
The DNA here is from genome assembly GCF_000001405.40 of Homo sapiens. Lineage (NCBI taxonomy): Eukaryota > Metazoa > Chordata > Mammalia > Primates > Hominidae > Homo > Homo sapiens. The sequence continues at coordinate 34,352,708 of NC_000012.12, forward strand.
CGCTCTGAATGCGTGAGCATGGGAAGCCCAGGGTCCCCTGGGCCCCACGCATGCACGGTGGGGAAGCACCTTCTTTTGTGGCGGGGTGGGGGTGGCCTCTGCCGCACTGTTTCTGTTTACCTGCCACACCACAGGCGCCTCGACCTCCCCTTTCAATCCTCCCTGCCGCTTTGGGCTAGCCCCGCTGAGCCCGAGGCGCTCTGTGGGCGTGAACCTGGGAGTCCCAGGGTCCCCTGCGCTCCATGCATGAGAGGTGGGGAGGCACTTTCGCCCGTGGGGAGGGGACCTTTCTCCTGTGGGGGGTGACCTCTGCCGCGCAGTTTCTGTTTACCTGCCACACCACAGGCGCCTCTACCTCCCCTTTCAAGACTCCCTGCCGCTTTGGACTGGCCCCCTTTGGCCCGAGGCAACCTGTGGGCATGAACCTGGGGCTCCCAGGGTCCCCTGGGCCCCATTCGTGAGTGGTAGGGAGGCACTTTCGCCCGTGGGGTGGACTTCTGCAGTGCCGCTTCTGTTTTCCTGTCACACCACAGGCATTTCGATCTTCCCTTTCAAGGCTCCCTGCCTCCGTAGACTGGCCCAAGTGGGCCCGAGGCGCTCCGTGGGCATGAACCTTGGGGGCGCAGGGTCCCCTGGACTTCACGCATGCACGATGGGGAAGCACTTTTGCCCGTGAGGTGGGACCTCTGCCGCGCCATTTCTGTTTTCCTGCTAAAACACAGGTGCTTCGACCTCCCCTTTCAAGCCTCCCTGCTGCATTGGGCTGGGCCCCGTGGGCCCGAGGTGCTCCATGGTTGCGAATTTTTGAGGCCCACAGTCCGCTGGGCCCCACGTATGCGCGGTGGGGAGGCACTTTCACCTGTGGAAGGGGGACCTCTGCGGAGCCGTTTCTGTTTTCCTGCCACACCACAGGTGCCTCGACATCCCCTTTGAAGCCTCCCTGCCGCCTTGGGCCCAAGGTACTTTGTGACAGTGAACCTGGGAGGCCCAGGGTGCCCTGGGCACTGCGCATGCACGCTGTGGAGTCTCTTTCGCCTGGTGGGGGACCTCTGCCACGCCATTTCTGTTTACCTGCCACAACACAGGCGCCTCTACCTCCCATTTCAAGCCTCCCTGCCGCTTTGGGCTGGCCCCCCTGGGCCCGAGGCGCTCCGTGGGCCCCATGCGTGAGCGGTGGGGGGCACTTTCGCCCGTGGGATGGACCTCTGCAGCGCCACTTGTTTTCCTGCTACACCACAGGCACTTCAAGCTGCCCTTTCAAGGCTCCCTGCCCCCTTGGGCTGGCCCCTGTGGGCCCGAGGCGCCCCGTGGGTATGAACCTGGGAGGCGTAGGGTCCCCCGGGCTTCACACATGCTCGGTGGGGTAGCACTTTCACCCGTGGAAGGGATCTCTGCTGGGTCGTTTCTGTTTTCCAGCCACACAATTGGCGCCTCGACCTCCCCTTTCAAGCGTCCCTGCCGCCTTGGTCTGGACCCCGTGGGCCCAATTCGCTCCGTGGGCACAAATGTGGGAGGCCCAGTGTCCCCTGGCCCCAGCATGTGTGGCAGGGAGGCACTTTCGCCCATGGGGGGGACCTCTGCCACACCTTTTCTGTTTTTCTGCCACACCACAAGCGACTCGACCTACCCTTTCAAGCCTCCCTGCAGCTTTGGGCTGGCCCCCATGGGCCCAAGGTGCTCCGTGGGCGGGAACCTGAGAGGCCCAGGGTCCCCTGGGTCACACGCATGCGCGGTGGGGAGGCACCTTCGCCCGTGGAGGGGACCTCTGCCGCAACGTTTGTGTTTCCTTGCCACACCACAGGTGCATCGACCTCCCTTTTCAAGCCTCCCTGCCGACTTTGGCTGGCCCCTGTGAGCCCGAGGCGCTCCGTGGGCGCGAACCTGGGAGGCCCAGTGTACCCTGGACCCCGCGCATATGCAGTGGGGAGGCACTTTCACGCGTTAAGTGGGGGGACCTCTGCTGCGCCGTTTCTGTTTTCCTGCCACACCACAGGTGCCTCAATCTCCCATTTCAAGCCTTCATGCAGTTCTGTGCTGGCTCCCGCCAGGGTCCCTTGGGCCCCACGAATGCGTGGTGGGTGGCATTTTCGCCCGTGGGGATGGGCCTTTGCCGCGGCTTTTCTGTTTTCCTGCCTCACCACAGGAGCTTTGACATCCCCTTTCAAGCTTCCCTGCCGCCATGGGCTGGCCCCCGTGGGCCTGAGGCACTCTAAGTGTGAACCTGGGAGTCCCAGGGCCCCTGGGCCCCGCGCATGCGCAGGAGGGAGGCACTCTCTCCCATTGGGAGGGACCTCTGCCATGCCGTTTCTGTTTCCCCGCCGCACCGCAGGCGCCTCGACCTACACTTTCAATCCTCCTCCTGCCTTGGGCTGGCCCCGTGGGCCCGAGGCGCTCCATGGGCGCGAATCTGGGAGGTCCAGGGTCCCCTAGTCCCCGTGCATGCGCGTTGGGGAGGCACTTTCGCCCGTGGGGTGGGACCTCTGCCGCGCTGTTTCTGTTTTCCTGCCAAAATACAGGAGACTCGACCTCCCTTTTCAAGCGTCCCTGCCGTGTTGGGCTGGACCCTGTGGACCCAACTCACTCCCTGGGCACGAACCTGGGAGGCTCAGGGTCGCCTGCCCCAGCATAAGTGATGGGGGGGCACTTTCGCCTGTGGGAGAGACCTCTGCCATGCGGTTTCTGTTTTCCTGCCACACCACAGGCAACTCGACCTACCCTTTCAAGCCTCCCTGCCGCCTTGGGCTGGCATCCGTGGGCCCGAGACTCTCTGTGGGCACGAATCTGGGAGGACCAGCGTCCCCTGGGCCCCATTCATGCGTGGTGGGTATGCACTTTCGCCCGTGGGCGTGTAGCTCTTCTGCGCCATTTCTGTTTTCCTGCAACAACACAGGCGACTCGACCTCCCCTTTCAAGCCTTCCTGCCCTTTTGCAATGGCCAAAGTGGGCCCGAGGCGCTCCGTGGGCATGAACCTGGAAAGCCCAGGGTCCCCTGGGACCCATGCATGCACGGTGGGGTGGCAACTTCACCAGTGTGGGGGGACCTCTGCTGCGCCATTTCTGTTTCCTGCCACACCACATGTGCCTCGACCTCCCCTTTCAAGCCTCCCTGCTGCCTTGGGCTGGCCACCGTCGGTCCGAGGCGCTCCGTGGGCACGTCCTGTGAGGCCGAGGGTCCCCTGGGCTCTGTGCATGAGCGGTAGGGAAGTACTTTCACCCGTGGGGAGGGGACCTTTACTGCGCCTTTTCTGTTTTCCTGCCACACCGAAGGCACCTCGACCTCCCCTTTCAAGCCTCCCTGCCGCCTTGGGCTGGCCACTGTCGGGCCGAGGCGCTCCTTGGCTGTGAACCTGGGAGGTGCAGGGTCCCCTTGGGCCCTGCACTTGCGCGGAGGGGAGACACTTTCGCCCGTGGATGGGGACCTCTGCCGTGCCGTTTCTGTTTTCCTGCCACACAGCAGGAGCCTTGACATCCCCTTTGAAGCATCCCTGCCACCTTGGGCTGGCCCCCATGGGCCCGAGGTGCTTCGTGGTGGTGAACCTGGGAGGCCCATGGTCTCCTGGATCCTGCGCATGCTCGCTGGGGAGTCACGTTATCCTGTGGTGGGGGACCTCTGCCATGCCATTTGTGTTTACGTGTCACACCACAAGCACCTTGACCTTCCCTTTCGAGCCTCCCTGCCGCCTTGGGCTGGCCCCCGTGGGCCCGAGGTGTTCACCAGGCTGAACCTGGAAGGCCCAGGGTCCCATAGGATCCGCGCATGTGAGCTGATGAGTCACTTTCGCCTGTTGGGGGTGGGGGGTACCTCTGCTGCGCCGTTTCTGTTTACCTGTGACAACACAGAGGCCTCGACCTCCCTTTTCCAGCCTCCCTGCCGCTTTGCGCTGGGGTCTCTGGGCCCGAGGCGCTCCGTGGGCATGAACCTGGGAGACCCAGGGTCCCCTGGTCCCCCGCACATGCGCAGTGGGGAGGCACTTTCGCTCGTGGAAGGGACGTCTGCCACGCCGTTTGTGTTTTCCTTCCACAACACAGGTGCCTCGACCTCCCTTTTCTAGCCTTCCTGCTGCCTTGGGCTGGCCCTCGTGGGCTGAGGTGCTCCATGAGCATGAACCAGGGACACCCAGGGACACCCAGGAACACTTGGGCCCTGCGCATGCGCGGTGGGGTGGCACTTTCGCCCGTGGTGGGTGATCTCTGCCTAGCCGTTTGTGTTTTCCTTCCACAACACAGGTGCCTCGACCTCCCCTTTCAAGCTTTCCTGCCGCCACGGGCTGGCCTCGCGGGCACGAGACATTTCATAGGCATGAACCAGGGATATGCAGGGTCCCTTGGGGCCTGCGCATGCACGGTGGGGAGGCACTTTCGCCCGTTGGGGAGACCTTTGCCGTGACGTTTCTGTATTCCTTCACAATAAAGATGCCTGGACCTCCCATTTCAAACCTTCCTGCCGCCTTCAGCTGGCCGCCTTGGGCCGAAGCGCTCTGTCGACATGAACCAGGGACGTCCGGGGTCCGCTGGGCAACATGCATGCGTGGTGGGGAGGCACTTTCGCCCGTGGTGGGGGGGACCTCTGCCCCGCCGTTTGTGTTTTCCTTCCACAACACAGGTGACTCGCCTTCCCTATTCAAGCATTCGTGCAGCCTTCGGCTGGCCCCCATGGGCCCGAGGTGCTCCGTGAGCACGAGCTAGGGATGCCCAGGGTCCCTTGGGCCCATCGCATTTGCAGTGGTGAGGTACTTTCTCTCGTTGGGGGTGACCTCTGCTGCGCCGTTTCTGTTTTCCTTCCACAACACAGGTGCCTCGACCTCCCCTTTCAAGAATTCCTGCCGCCTTGGGCTGGCCCTGTTGGCTGAGGCCCTCCATGGGCTTGAACCAGGGATGCTCAGCATCCCCTGTGCACCAGGCATGCGCAGTGGGGAGGCACTTCCGCCGGTGATGGGGACCTCTGCCTCGCCGATTGTGTTTTCCTCCCCAACAGAGGTGCTTCGACCTCCCCTTTCAAGCATTCCTGCTGCCTTGGGCTGAACCCCATGGGCCCAGGGCGCTCCGTGGGCATGAACCAGGGACGCCCAGGGTCCCGTGGGCCCCACGCATTCACAGTGTTGAGGCACTTTCGCCCTTAAGGGGGGACCTCTGCCTGGCCATTTGTGTTTTTCTTCCGCAAAACAGGTGCCTTGATCTCCCCTTTTAAATGTTCCTGCCGCTTTGTCTGGCATCCTTGTGCCCAAGGCGCTCCATGGGCATGAACCAGGGATGCTCACGGTCCCCTGGGCCCCGCACATGCGCGGTGCGAAGGCACTTTCGCCCGTTGAGGGGTAACTCTGTGGCGCCATTAGTGTTTTCCTTCCACAACACAGGTGCCTCGACCTCCCCTTTCAAGACTTCCTGCCGCCTTGGGCTGGCCCTCGTGGGCTCGAGTTGCTCCTTAGGCGTGAATTAGTGTCCTCCAGGGACCCCTGGGCCTTGCGCATGAGCGGTGGGGAGGCACTTTCTCCTGTGGCGGGGGGACCTCTGCCGAGCCGTTTGTGTTTTCGTTCCACAACACAGGTGCCTCAACCTCCACTTTCAAGCCTTCCTGCCACCTTGTGCTTGTCTCCGTGGGCCCAAGGCGCTCCGTAGGCGAGTACCAGGGATGCCCATGGTCCCCTGGGCCCCACCCATGCGCGGCGGGGAGGCACTTTCGCCAGTGGGGGGGGGACATCTGCTGTGCCGTTTGTGTTTTCCTTCCACAACACAGGTGTCCCGACCTCACCTTTCAAGCCTTCCTGCCACCTTAGGCTGGCTCCCGTGGGCCCACGGCACTCTGTGGGCATGAGCCTGAGATGCCCAGGGTCCCCTGGGTCCCACGCATGCATGGTGGGGACCGACTTTCTCCCATGGGTGGGACCTCTGCCGTGCCATTTGTGTTTTCCTTCCTCATCACAGGTGCCTCGACCTCCCTTTTCAAGCCTTCCTACCGCTTGGGCTGTCCCCTGTGGTACCGAGACGCTCTGTGGGCATGAAAAAGAGACGCCCAGGGTCCCCTAGGCCTGGCGCATTTGCGGAGGGGAGGCACTTTCTCCCATGGGGGTCACTGCTCCCGCGCTGTTTGTTTTCGTTTGAAAACACAGGTGCCTCAACCTCCCCTTTCAAGTTTTCCTGAGCCTTGGGCTGTCCCTTGTAGGCCGAGGCGCTCAGTGGGCATGAAGCAGGGATGCCCAGGGTCCCCTGGGCCCCACACATGCCTGGTGGAGAGGCATTTTTGCCCGTAGGGGGATCCTCTGCCGGGCCGTTTGTGTTTTCCTTCCACACCACAGGTGCCTCGATCTCCCCTTTCAAGCCTTCCTGCCGCCTTGGGCTGGCCCCCATGAGCCAAAGGCACTCCCTGGGCATGATCCAGGGATGCCCAGGGTCCCCTAGGCCCCACACATGCGCGATGGGGAGGCCCTTGCACCCGTCGGGGGGAGGTCCTCTGCCGTGCCATTTCTGTTTTCCTTCCACACCACAGTTGCCTCGACTTCCTGTTTCAAGCCTTCCTGCCTCATTGGGCCTAACCTCGTGAGCCTGAGGCCCACCCTGGGCATGAACCACAGAATTCAGGGTACCCTGGCTTCATGCATGTGCGGTGGGGAAGCAATTTGGCCCGTGGGGGGGAAGCTCTGCTGCGCAGTTTGTGTTTTCCTCCTACACCACTGGTGCCTCGACCTCCCATTTCAAGACTTCCTGCAGCCTTGCGCTGAGTCCTGTGGGCCGCGGGGCTCCATGGGCGTGAACCTGGGATGCCCAGGGTCCCCTGGACCCTGCCCATCGGCGGAAGGAAGGCATTTTCACCCGTGGCAGGGGAACTTTGCCTCAACGTTTGTGTTCTCCTTCCAAACCATAGGTGACTCGACCTCCCATTTCAAGACTTCCAGCCGCCTTGGGCTGGTTCCTGTGGTCCAAGGCACTCCATGGGTGCGAATCAGGGAGGCCCAGGGACCCTTGGGCCCCGTGCATGCATGGTGGAGGGCACTTTGGCCCGTGGGGGGGGACCTCTGCCTCGCCGTTTGTGTTGTCCTTCCACACCACAGGTGCCTCGACATCCCCTTTCAAGCCTTCCTGCGGTTTGGCTGACCTCTGTGGGGCCGAGGCGCTCTATGGGCAAGAAACAGGAACGCCTAGGGTCCACTGGGCCCCACACATGCACGGTGGGGAGTCACTTTAACCCGTGGGTTGGACCTTTGCCTTGCCGTTTATGTTTTCCTTCCACAACACAGGTGTCTCGACCTCCAATTTCAGGCATACTTACCGCCTCGGGCTGGCCCCTGTGGATCCGAGACGCTCAGTGGGCATGAATCAGGAACCCCTAGGTTCCCATGGGTCCCACAGATGCTACGTGGGGAGGCACTTTCGCCCGTGACAGGGGACCACTACCTCGCCGTTTGTGTTTTCCTTCCACAACACAGGTGCCTCGACCTCCCCTTTCAAGCCTTCCTGTCACCTTGGCTGGCCCCCATGGGCACAAGGCACTAAGTGGGTGTGAACCACAGATGCCCAGGCTTCCATGGGAGCCCCGCATGCGGGGTGGGGAGGCATTTCGCCAGTCGGTGGGGACCTCAGCCGCCCCATTTTTGTTTTCCTTCTACACAACTGGTGCCTCGACCTTTCTTTTCAAGATTTCCTGAGGCCTTGGGCTGCCCCCCCACCCTTGGCCGAGACGCACCATGGGGGTGAACCAGGGACACCCAGGGTCCCCTGGACCCTGCGTATGCACAGTGGGGAGGCACTTTCGCCCATGGAGTGGGACGACGGCCTTGCTGTTTCTGTTTCCCTTCCACAAAACCTTTGCCTCGACCTCCCCTTTCAAGCTTTCCTGACACCTTGGGATGGACGCCGTGGGACCAAGACGCTCTGTGGTTGCAAACCAGGGACACCCAGGGTCCCTAAGCCCAGCGCCTGAGCAGTGGGGAGGCACTTTCGCTCGTGGGGTGATCCTCTGCTGCCCCGTTTGTGTTTTCCTTCCACACCACAGGTGCCTCGACCTCCCCTTTGAAGCCTTCCTGCTGCCTTGGGCTGGCCCCCGTGGGACGAGGTGCTCCATGGGCCAAATCCAGGGTCCCCTGGGCCCCACAAATGCACCGTGGGGAGGCACTTTCGCCTCTGGGTCCTTACCTCTTCCACACCGTTTGTGTTTTCCTTCCAAAACACGGGTGCCTCGACCTGCCCTTTCAAGCCTTCCTGCCGCCTTGGGCTGGCCCCCTTGGGCCCGAGGCACTCCACCGTGTGAACCAGGGATTCCCCGGGTCCCCTGTTCCCGGAGTATTCATGGTACGGAGGCACTTTCTCCTGTGGAGGGGACCGCTGCCTCGCCATTTGTGTTTTCCTTTCACAACACAGGTGCCTCGACCTCCCCTTTCAAGACTTTCTGCCACCTTGGGCTGGCATGCGTTGGCCCACGGGGCTCCATGAGCATGAATCAGGGATTTCCAGGGCCCCCTGGGGCCTGGGCATGTGCGGTGGGGAGACACTTTCGCCCTTGGGCGGGGGGAACCACTCCTTCGGTGTTTGTTTCCCTTCCACAACACAGGTGCCTCAACCTCCCCATTCAAGCATTCCTGACACCTTGGGCTGGCCCCCGTGGGCCGAGGCACTCCATGGGTGTGAATCAGGGACACTCAGGGTCCCCTCAGCCACACACATGCACGGTGGGGAGGCACTTTCGCCCGTGGGGGGACCTCTGCCTCTCCGTTTGTTTTCCTTCCACAAAACAGGTGCTCCGACCTCCCATTTCAAGCAATACTGGCGACTTGGTCTGGCCTGCGTGGACAGTAGGCGCTCCGTGGGCATGAGTCAGGGACGCCCACGGTCCCCTGGACCCCACTCATGCGCGGTGGAGAAGCACTTCCTTCCGTGTGGGGGGACCTCTTCCTCGCCGTTTGTTTTCCTGCCACAACACAAGTGCCTCGACCTCTCCATTCAAGCTTTCCTGCTGCTTCGGGCCGGCCCCCGTGGGCCCAAGGCGCACCGTGGGTGCGAACCAGGGACACTCAGGGTCCCCATGGCCCCACGCATGCGCTCTGGGGAGGCAGTTTAGCCCGTGGGGGGGGCCTCTGCCTCGCCGTTTGTGTTTTCCCACCACAATACAGGTGCCTCGACCTCCCCTTTCAAGCCTTCCTGCCACCTTACGCTGGCCCCCGTGGGCCCGAGGCACTCCGTGGACATGAACCAGGGACGACCACGGTACCCTGGGCCCCTCACATGAGTGGTGGGGCGGCACATTCTCCCGTGGCAGGGGACCTCTGTCTCGCCATCTCTGCGTTCCTTACTCAACACAGGTGTTTCGACCTCCCTTTTCAAGCCTTCCTGCCTCATTGGGCTGGCCCCCATGGGCCCGGCGCACTCCATAGGCGTGAATCAGGGAAGCCCAGGGTCCCTAGGGCCCCACGCATGCGCGGTGGGGAGGCACTTTCACCCGTGGAGTGGGGGACCTCTGCCTCGCCATTTGTTTTCCTTCCACAACACAGCTGCCTCGTCCTCCTCTTTCAAGCCTTCCTGCCGCCTTGGCCTGGCCCCCCTGAGCCCGAGGCCCCCTGAAGGCACGAACTAGGGATACCCAGGGTCCCCTTGGCCCTGTGCATGTGCGGTGGGGAGGCACTTTCGCCCGTGGTTGGGGACCTCTGCCTCGCCGTTTGTGTTTTTCTTCCACAACACAGGGGCCTCGGTCTCCCATTTCGAGCCTTCCTGCTCTCTTTGGCTGGCCTCTGTGGGCTCAAGGCATTCCGTGGGCGTGAACCAGGGATGCCCTGGGTTCCCTTGCCCTGAGCATTCGCAGTGGGGCGGCGCTTTCGCCCGTGGGAGGGGACCTCTACCTCCCCGTTTTTGTTTTCCTTCCACAACACAGGTGTCTCGCCCTCCTCTTTCAAGCATTCCTGCCGCCTTCAGCTGGCCCCCGTGGGGCTGATGCACTCTGTGGGCATGAATGAGGGATGCCCAGGGTCCCCTGGGCCCCACACATGCTTGGTGGGGAGGCACGTTCGCCCGTGGTGTGGCACCTCTGCCTTGCTATTTGTGTTTTCCTTCCACAGAAGCAGTGTCTCGACCTCCCCTATCACGCCTTCCTGCCACTTTAGTCCGGCCCCCGTGGGCCTGAGATGCTCTGTGGGCGTGAACTAGGGATGCCCAGGGTCCCATGGGCACCACGCAAGCGCTCTGGGGAGGCACTTTCGACCGTGGGTGGGGATCTCTGCCTTGTTGTTTGGGTTTTCCTTCCACAACAAAGTTACCTTGACCTCCCATTTCAGGCCTTCCTGCCGTCTTGGGCTGGCCCCCGTGGGCCCGAGGTGCTCCGTGTATGGGAACCACGGAGACCCGGGATCCACTGGGCCCAGCCCATGCGCGGTGGGGAGAGACTTTCGTTCGTGTGGTGTGACATCTGCCTCGGTGTTTCTGTTTTCCTTGCACAACACAGGTGATTCGACCTCCCCTTTCAAGCATTCCTGCCGCCTTGGGCTGGACCCCGTGGGCGGAGGCACTCTTTGTGCATGAATCAGTGACGACCAGGGTCCCCTGGGCCCCGCGCATGCGTGGTGGGGAGGCACGTTCGCCCTTGGAGGGGGAACTCTTTCTCATGGTTTGTGTTTTCCTTCCACAACACAGATGCCTCGACCTCCCCTTTCAAGACTTCCTGCCGCCTTGGGCTGGCCCCCGTGGACCCTACGTACTCTATGGGTGCGAAGCAGGGACGCCCAGAGTCCCCTGGGCCCTGCGCATGCACGGTGGGGAGGCACTTTCGCCTGTGGCGGAGACCTCTAACTCGCCGTTTGCGTTTTCCTTCCACACTTCAGGTGCCTCGACCTCCCCTTTCAAGCCTTCCGGCTGCCTTGGGCTGGCCCCCTTGGGCTCGAGGCGCTACGTGGGCACCATCCAGGGACGCCCTGCGCCCCATGCATGCGGAGTGGGGAGGCAGTTTCCCCCGGGGGTGGCGTACCTCTGCAGCGCCATTTGTTTTTTTCTTCCACACCACAGTTGCCTCGACCTTCCCATTGAAGCCTTCCTGCCGCCTTGGGCTGGCCCCTGTGTGCCGAAGTGCTGTGTGGGCATGAACGAGGGACGCTGAGTGTCCTCTGGTCCCCACGCATGTGCCGTGGGGGGCACTTTCGCCCTTGGGCGGGACCTCTGCCTCGCCGTTTGTGTTTTCCTTCCAGAAGACAGGTGCCTCGACCTCCCCATTCAAGCTTTCCAACCGCCTTGGGCTGGCCCCCGTGGGACCAAGGCACTCCCCAGGCATGAAACAGGGACGCCCAGGGTGCCCTGGGCCCATGGCATGTGCAGTGGTGAGGCACTTTCTTCCGTTGGGGGTGACCTCTGCCGCGCCGTTACTGTTTTCCTTCCACAACACGGGTGCCTCAACCTCCCCTTTAAGCCTTCCTGCTGCCTTGGGCTGTCCCCGTGGGCCCGAGGCGCTCCGTGGGTGTGAACCAGGGACACGCAGGTTCCCCTGGGCCCTGCACATGTGTGGTGGGAAGGAATTTTCGCCTGTGGGCTGGGACCTCTGCCTCGCCGTTTGTGTTTTCCTTCCATAACAAAGGTGTCTTGACCTCCCATTTCAGGACTTCCTGCCTTCTTGGGCTGGCCTCCGTGGGCCCGCAGTGCTCCGTGCGTGGGAACCAGGGACGGATCCACTGGACCCCGTGTAAGTGTGGTGGGGAGGCACCTTCACCCATGGAGGGGGACCACGGCCTCCCTGTTTCTGTTTTCCTTCCACAACACGCGTGCCTCGACCTCCCCTTTCAAGCTTTCCTGCCACCTTGGGCTGGACCCCGTGGGACTGGGACTGAGGCGCTCTGTGGTTGCAAACCAGGGACACTCAGCATCCCCTGGGCCCCCTGCGTGCACGTTGATGAGGCACTTTCCCCCATGGGGGGGCACCACTGCTGCGCTGTTTGTGTTTTCCCTCCACACCACAGGTGCCTCGAACTTCCCTTTTCAAGCCTTCCTGCCGCTTTGGGCTGGCCCCCATAGGCCCGAGGCACTCCGTGGGCACGAAACTGGGATGCCCAGGGTCCCCGGGCCTTGTGCAAGCACGGTGGGGAGGCACTTTCGCCCGTGGTAGGCCTCTTCTTCACCCTTTTTCTTTTCCTTCCACAACGCAGGTGCCTCGACCTCCCATTTCAGGCCCTCCTGCCGCCTTGGGCTGGCCGCCATGGGCCGAGACGCTAGATAGGTGGAAACCAGGGGTGCCAAGGGTCCCCTGGGCCACACACATGCCCGGTGAGGGGGCTCTTTCGCCCGTGCGTTGGGACCTCTGCCTCGCCATTTGTGTTTTCCTTCTACAACAGAGCTGCCTCGACCTCCCCTTTCAAGCCTTCCTGCAGCTTTGGGCTTGACGCCTGGGCCTGAGGTACTCTGAGGGCGTGAACCAGGGACGCCCAGGTTCCCCTTGGTCCCACGCATGCGGGGTAGGGAGGCACTTTCGCTCGTGGCTGGGGACCGATACCTCGCCGTTTGCATTTTCCTTCCACTACACAGGGATCTCGGTCTCCCGTTTCAAGCCTTCCTGCTCTCTTGGGCTGGCCTCCGTGGGCTCAAGGCATTCAGTGGGCACGAACCAGGGATGTCCTGTGTGCCCTTGCCCCTGAGCATTCGCGGTGGGGGGCATTTTCGCTGGTGGAAGGGGACCTCTGCCTCCCCGTTTTTGTTTTCCTTCCACAACACAGGTGCCTCGCCCTCCTCTTTCAAGCATTCCTGATGCCTTGCGCTGGCCCCCGGGGGCCCGATGCACTCCATGGGCGTGAACAAGGGATGCCCAGGGTCCCCTGGGCCCCACGCATGCTTGGTGGGGAGGCACGTTCTCCCGTGGGGGGGGGGGGCTCTGCCTTGCTATTTGTGTTTTCCTTCCACAACAGAGGTGCCTCGACCTCCCCTATCACGCCTTCCTGCTCCCTTAGTCCGGCCCCTGTGGGCCCGAGACGCTCTGTTCACTTGAACTAGAGATGCCCAGGGTCTCTTGGGCACCATGCATACGCGTTGGGGATCTCTGCCTCGTTGTTTGTGTTTTCTTCCACAGCAAATGTTCCTCGACCTCCCATTTCAGGCCTTCCTGCCGTCTTGGGCTGGCCCCCGTGGGCCCTCCATGCGTGGGAACCAGGGATGCCCAGGATCCACTGGGCCCAGCCCATGCGCCGTGGGGAGAGACTTTCCTCCGTTTGGTGAGACATCTGCCTCGCTCTTTCTCTTTTCCTTGCACAACACAGGTGCCTCGACTTCCCCTATCAAGCCTTCCTGCTGCCTTGGGCTGGCCCCCGTGGGCCTGAGGCGCCACGTGGGCATGATCCAGGGATGCCCTGGGCCCCGTGCATGCGCGGTGGGGACGGTGAGGAGGCACTTTCGCCCGTGGTTAGGGACCTCTGCCTCACCGTTTGTTTTCCCTCCACAACACAGGGGCCTCGGTCTCCCATTTCAAGCCTTCCTTCTCTCTTGGGCTGGCTTCCGTGGGCTCAAGGCATTCCGTGGGCATGAACCAGGGAAACCCTGGGTTCCCTTGCCCCCGAGCATTTGCGGTGGGCAGGCACTTTCGCCTGTGGTGTTGGACCTCTGCCGCGCTGTTTGAGTTTTCCTGCCACAACACAGGTGCCTCGACCTCCCCTTTCAAGCCTTCCCGCCGCCTTGGGCTGGCCCTGGTGGACCGTAGGCACTCCGTGGCCATGAGTCAGGGATGCCAAGGGTCCCCTGGGCCCCGCGCATGCTCAGTAGAGAGGCAATGCCTCCCATGTTGGGGGACCTCTGCCTCGCCGTTTGTGTTTTCCTTCCACAGCACAGCTGCCTCGACCTCCCCTTACCAGACTTCCTGCACCTTGGGCTGGCCCCCGTGGGCCCGAGGCACTCAGTGGGAGTGAACCAGGGATGCCCGGGTGCCCTGAGATCCGCGTATGCACGGTGGGGAGGAACTGTCCCCCATGGGGGTGACCTCTCCCTCGCCTTTTGCGTTTCCCTTCCACATCACAGGCGCCTCGACCTACCATTTCAAGCCTTCCTGCCACGTTGGGCTGGCCTCTGTGGGGCTGCGGGGCTCTGTGGGCATAAACCAGGGTTGCCCACAGTCCCCTGGGGCCTGGGCATGCGTGGTGGAGAGACACTTTTGCCCTTTGCATGGACCACTGCCTCGGCATTTGTTTCCCTTCCACAACACAGGTGCCTCGACCTCCCCATTCAAGACTTCCTGCCAACTTGGGCTGGCCTCCGTGGGCCAAGGTTCCCCGTGGGTGTGAACCAGCGATTCCCAGGGTCCCCTGGGCCACATGCATGCATGGTGGGTAGGCACTTTCGCCAGTGGTGTGTACCTCTGCCTAGCCGTTTGTGTTTTCCTTCCACAACACAGCTGCCTCGATCTCCCATTTCATGCCCTCCTGGCGACTTGGTCTGGATCTCGTGGGCCCGAGGCTCGCCCTGGGTGTGAATCCATGGGCCCCATGCATGCGCGGTGGAGAGGCACTTCCGCCTGTGTGGGGGGACTTCTGCCTCGCCGTTTGTGTTTTCCTCCCACAAAACAGCTGCCACGACCTCCACTTTCAAGTCTTCGTGCACCTTGGGCTAGCCGCCTTTGGCCGGAGGCGCTCAGTGTGTGCGAACCAGGGATGCGCGGGGTCCCCTGGGCCCTGCGTATGCGCGGTGGGGAGGCACTTCTGCCGTGGGGGTGACCTCTGCCTAGCCGTTTGTATTTCCCTTCCACAGCACAGGTGCCTCGACATCCCATTTCAAGCCTTCCTGCCGCCTTGGACTGGCTCCCGTTGGCCGAAGGTGCTCCTTGGGCGGGAACTAGGGATGCCCAGGGTGTCCTGGGACTCGTGCATGCACGGTGGGGAGGCACTTTTACCCGTGGTGCGGGACCTCTGCCTCGCCATTTGCGTTTTCCTTCCACACCTCATGTGCCTCGACCTCCCCTTTCAAGGCATTCTGCCACCTTGGGCTGGCCCTTGTGGTCCCGAGGCACTCCATGGGCATGAACCAGGGACACCCAGGGTCCCCTGGGTCCCGTGCATGTGCGGTGGAGAGGAACCTTCACCCGTCGGGGGGACCCCTGCCTCTCTATTTCTGTTTTCCTTCCACAACACAGGTGCCTCGACCTCCCCTGTCAAGCCTTCCTGCTACCTTGCGCTGGCTTCCGTGGGCTTGTGGCGCTCTGCAGGCATGAACCAGGGCCGCCCACGGTCACTTGGGCCCCAGGCATGCGTGGAGGGGAGACATTTCCGCCCCTGGGTGGGGACCACTTCCTCGGCATTTGTGTTTCCCTTCCACAACACAGGTGCCTCGACCTCCCCATTCCAGATTTCCTGTAGCCTTAGGCTGGACCCCGTGTGCCAAGGCTCTCCATGAGTGCGAAACAGGGACGCCCAGGGTCCCCTGGGCCACATGCATGAACGGTGGGGAAGCACTTTCACCCGTGTGGGGGAAACTCTGCCTCGCCATTTTTGTTTTCCTTCCATAACACAGGTGCCTCGACCTCCCCTTTCATGCATTCCTGCCGCCTTGGTCTGGCCCCCATGGGCCAGAGTCACTCCATGGGTATGTACCAGGGATGTCCAAGGTCCCCTGGGCCCCACGCATGCGCGGTGGGGAGAAACTTTCGCCTGTGGGGGGGACCTCTGTATTGCCATTTGTGTTTTCCTTCCACAACACAGGTGCCTCGACCTCCCCTTTCAAGCCTTCCTGCCTACTTGGGTTGGCCCTTGTGGTCCGAGGTGCTCAGTGGGCACATACCAGGGATGCGCAGGGTCCCCTGGGCCCTGCGCCTGCGCCATGGGGAGGCACTTTCGCCAGTGGGGTGATCGTTTGCCGTGCCAAATATTTTTTCCTTCCACAACACAGGTGCCTCGACCTCCCCTTTCAAGACTTCCTGCAGACTTGGGCTGGTCCCTGTGGGCCCAAGGCTCTCCGTGGGCATGATCCAGGGACGCCCAGGGTCCCCTGGGCCGTGCACATGAGCGACGGGGAGGTACTTTCGCCAGTGGGGGGGACCTCTGCCTTGCCGTTTGTGTTTTCCGTCTGCTACACAGGAGACTCGACCTCCCATTTGTAGCTTTCCTGCCACCTTGGGCTGGCCCCTGTGGGCTGAGGTGCTCAGTGGGTGCGAAACAGGGAGGCCAGTGTCCCCTGAGTCCAGGGCATGAGTGGTGGAGAGGCACTTTAGCCCGTGGGGTGATCCTTTGCTGCGCCGTTTGTGTTTTCCTTCCATACCACAGGTGCCTCGACCTCCCCTTTGAAGCCTTCCTGCCGCCTTGGGCTAGGCCCCATGGGCCCGAGACGCTCCATGGTCGTGATCCAGGGACTCCCTGGGTCCCTTGAGTCCCGCGGATGAACAGTGGGGAGGAACTTTCGCCCGTGGGGGATCCTCTGCCGCGCCATTTCTGTTTTCCTTTCACAGCGCAGGTGCCTCGACCTCCCCTTTCAAGCATTCCTGCCGCTTTGAGCTGGAATAGGTGGGACCAAGGCCTTCTGTAGGCACGAACCAGGGACGACCACTGTCCCCTGGGCCATGCGCATGTGCGGTAGGGAGGTACTTTCGCCCATGGGGGGGACCTCGACCTCGCCGTTTGTGTTTTCCTTCCACAACACAGGTGCCTCGACCTAACATTTCAAGACTTCCTCTGATTTGGGCTGGACCCCCTGGGCCGAAGCGATACATAGATGCCAACCCGGGATGCCCAAGGTTTCCAGGGATCCACGCATTGCGGTGGGGAGGCACTTTCTCTCGTAGTGGGGGACCTCTGCCACGCAGGTTATGTTTTCCTTCCACACCACAAGTGCCTCGACCTCCCCTTTCAAACATTCCTGCCGTCTTGGGATGGCCCCTGTTGGCCGAGGCACTCCGTGGGTGCAAAACAGGGACACCCAGGGTCCCCTGGGCCTTGTGCATGTGTGGTGGGGAGGCAATTTCGCCCGTTGGGGGAGACCTCTGCTGTGCTGTTTGTGTTTTCCTTCCACACCACAGGTGCCTCGACTTGCCTTTCAAGCCTTCCTGTCGCCTTGGGCTGGCCCCTGTTGTCCGAGGAGCTCCATGGGTGTGAACCAGGGACGCTGAGGTTCCCCTTATTCCCGCTCATGAGCGGTGGGCAGGCACATTCGCCCGTTGTGGGGGGTCCTCTGCTTTGCCGTTTGTGTTTTCCCCCACCACACAGGTGCCTCAACCTCCCCTTTCAAGCCTTCCTTCCGCCTTGGGTTGGCGCCTGTGGGCCCGAGGCGCTCCATGCTTGTGAGCCAGATATGCCCAGTGTCCCCTGGGCCCCACGCAGGTGCGGTGGGGAGGCACTTTCGCCCATGGGGGTGACCTCTGCCATGCCACTTTTGTTTTCATTCCACAACACAGGTGCCTCGACCTCCCCATTCAAGCCTTGCTGCCGCCTTGGGCTGTACCCCGTGGGCCCAAAACCCTCCGTGGCCATGAACCAGGGATGCCCAGTTTCCCTGGGGCCCCACTTATGTTCAGTGGGGAGGCACTTTGGCACCTGGGGGGGACCTCTGCCTCACCGTTTTTGTTTTCCTTCCACACCACGGGTGCCTCGACTTCGCCTTTCAAGACTTCCTGTCACTTGGTCTGACTTCTGTGGGCGCGAGGCACCTCGTGGGTGCGAAACAGGGACGCCCAGGATCCTCTCAGCCCCACGCTTTCATAGTGGGGCGGCACTTTCGCCCGTGGGGGCGACCTATCCCTCACCATTTGTGTTTTCCTTCCACAACACAGGTGCCTTGACCTCCCATTTCAAGCCTTCCTGCCACTTTGGAATGGCCCCTTGGGCCGAGGCCCTCCATAGTCGTGAACGAGGGACGTCCATGGTTTCCTGGGCCCCACTCATGAGCGGCGGGGAGGCACTTTTGCAAGTGGGGGAGGGCCTCTGCTGCACCATTTGTTTTCCTTTCACAACACAGGTGCCTCGACCTCCCATTTCAAGAATTCTTGCCGCTTTGTGCTGGCCCCCTTGGGCAGTGGCGCTCTGAGAGTGCGAACCAGGGATGCCAAGGATCCCCTGGGCGCCATGCATGTGTGGTGGGGAGGCACTTTCTCCCGTGGTGGTGGGACATCTGTCGCGCCTTTTGTGTTTTCCTTCAACAACACAGGTGCCTCGACCTCCCCTTTCAAGCATTCCTGAAGCCTTGGTCTGACCCCCGTGGGTCGAGGTGCTCCGTGGGCGCAAAACAGGGACCCCCAGGGTCTGCTGGGCCCTGCACATTTGCGGTGGGGAGGCACTTTCACCCGTAGGGGGGGAACTCTCCCTCGCCCTTTACGTTTTCCTTCCACAATACAGGCGCCTTGACCTCCCCTTTCAAGCATTCCTGCCGCATTGGGCTTACCCTGTGAACGGAGGTGCTACGTGAGCAAGAACCAGGGACGCCCAGGGTCCCCTGGGAACCGCGCATGTGCCGTGGGAAGGCAATTTCGCGCCAGGGGGGGACCTCTGCTGTGTCGTTTGTGTTTTCCTTCCACACCACAGGGGCCTCGACCTCCCCTTTCAAGCCTTCCTGCCTCCTTAAACTGGCCCCCGTGGGCTGAGGTGCTCCATGGGCAAGAATGGGGGATGCCCTGTGTCCCCTGGGTCCCGCGCGTGCGTGGTGGGGAGGCACTTTCGCCTTTGAGAGGGGACCTCTGCCTCACTGTTTGTGTTTTCTTTTCACAACACAGGTGCCTCGACCTCCCTTTTCAAGCATTCATGACGCGTTGGGCTCACCCTGTGTGTGCTCCAGGTGCTCCGTGGGCATGAACCAGGGATGCCCAGGGTCCCCTGGGCCCTGAACATGCGTGGTGGATAGTCACTTTCCCCCGTGGCTGGGGGGAACCTCTGCCACAAAGTTTGTGTTTTCGTTCCTCAACACAGGTGCCTCGACATCCCCTTTCAAGATTTTCTGCCACCTTGGGCTGGCGCCCGTGGGCTGAGGTACTCCATGGGCCTGAACCAGGGACACTCAGAGTCCCGTGGACCCTGTGCATGCGTGGAGGGGAGGCACTTTCGACCGTGTGGGGGACCTCTGCCACGCCGTTTTTCTTTTCCTTCCACAACACAGATGCCTCGACCTCCGTATTCAAGCCTTCCTGCCATCTTGGGCTGGACTCCGTGGGCCGAGGCGCTCCGTGGGTGCGAACCAGGGACGCCCACGGTACCCTGGACCCCTTGCATGCACGGTGGGGAGGCACTTTGGTCCATCAGAGGAGACCTCTGCTGCACCATTTGTGTTTTCCTGCCACACCACAGGTGCCTCAACTTCCCTTTTCAAGCCTTCCTGCCACCTTCAGCTTGTCCCCGTGAGCCGAGGCGCTCCGTCAGCATGAAGCAGGGACCCCCAGGGTCCCCTGGGCACCACGCATGCACGGTGGGGAGGCTCTTTCGTCCGTGGCGGGGGACCTCTGCCACGTCCTTTGTGGTTTCCTTCCATACCACAGGTGCCTCGACCTCCCCTTTCAAGACTTCCTGCCTCCTTGGACGGGCCCTGGTGAGCCAACGCGCTTCGTGGGTGTAAATCGGGGAAGCCCAAAGTCTCCTAGGTCCTGCACATGCGCGGTAGGGTGGCACTTTCACCCATGGGGGGTCCCTCTGCCGTGCAGTTTATGTTTTCCTTCCACAACACAGGTGCCTCTACCTCTCATTTCAAGACTTCCTGCCGCCTTGGGCTGGCCCCCGTGGGCCGTGGAGCTCCGTGTCTGTGAACCAGGGACACCGAGGGTACCCTGGGCCCCACGCATGCATGGTGGGGAAGCACTTTCTCCCGTGGCATAGGGCCATCTGTCTCTCCGTTTGTGTTTTCCTTCCACAACAGAGGTGCCTCGACCTCCCCTTTCAAGCATTCCTGCTGCCTTGGCCCTGTCCCCCTTGGGCCAAGGTGCCCTTCCCCCACAGGTGTGAAGCAGGTATGCCCACGGTCCACTGGGCCCCGCCCATGCGTGGTGGGGAAGCACTTTCGCCCATGGGGGGGAAACTCTTCCTCGCCCTTTGTGTTTTCCTTCCACAACACAGGCACCTTGACCTCCCCTTTCAAGCCTTCCTGCCTCATTTGGCTGACCGTTGTGGGCTGAAGCGCTATGTGGGCACGAACCACGGGCACCCAGGGTCCCATGGGCCCCATGCATGCGTGGTGGGGAGGCACTTTCGCCCGTGGCTGGGGAATTTTGCCTCGCCCTTTGTGTTTTCCTTCCACAAGACAGGCGCCTTGACCTCCCCTTTCAAGCCTTCCTGCCGCGTTGGGATTACCCCTGTGGGCTGAGGCGCTATGTTGGCACGAACAAGGGATGCCCAGGGTCCCCTGGGCCCCATGCATGAGCAGTGGGGAGGCACTTTCACCCGTGTGGGGGGACCTCTGCCTCGCCGTTTGTGTTTTCCTTCCACAACACAGGTGCCTCAACCTCACATTTCAAGCCTTCCTGCCGCCTTAGGCTGGCCCCCGTGGGCCCGACGCACTCTGTAGACATGAACCAGGCACTCCCATGGTACCCTGGGCCCCGCGCATCTGCGGTGGGGAGGCACTTTCGCTCATGGAGGCGACCTCTGCCTCGCCATTTGTGTTTTCCTTCCATATCACAGGTGCCTCCACCTCCCCTTTCAAGACATCCTTCCGCTTTGGGCTGGCCCCCATTGGCCTGAGGTGCTCTGTGGGCACGAACCAGGGACGCCCAGGGTCCCCTGGGCCCCGTGCATGTGCACTGGGGAGGCACTTTCGCCCGTGGTGGGGGGACCTCTGCCGCGCTGTTTGATTTCTCCTTCCACCCCACAGGTGACTTGACCTCCCGTTTCAAGACTTCCTGCCACCTTTGGCTGGACCCCTTGGGCTGACGAGATCCTTGTGCAAGAACCAGGGAT
Source organism: Homo sapiens (assembly GCF_000001405.40). Lineage (NCBI taxonomy): Eukaryota > Metazoa > Chordata > Mammalia > Primates > Hominidae > Homo > Homo sapiens. The sequence continues at coordinate 34,373,503 of NC_000012.12, forward strand.
GCCCAGCATCCCCTGGCCCCCAAGCATGCACGGTGGGGTGGCACTTTCCTCCGTGGGGGGGGGGGGGAACTCTGCTGCGCTGTTTGTATTCCTTCCACTCCACAGGTGCCTCGATCTCCTCTTTCAAGCCTTCCTTCCGCCTTGGGGTGGCCCCCCGTGGGCCAAGACGTTCTGTGGGGATGAACCAGGGATGCTCAGCGTCCCCTGGTCCCTGAGCAAGTGTGGTGGGGGGTACTTTCGCCCTTATTGGGGGACCTCTTCTGTGGCGTTTGGGTTTTCCATCCACACCACAGGTGCTTCGACCTCCCATTTTAAGGCTTTCTGCCGCCTTGGGCTGGCCACCGTGGGCCGAGGCACTCCATGGGCGTGAATCAGGGGACCCCTGGGCCCCATGCATACGCGAAGGGGAGGCACTTTCGCCCGTGCGGGGGACCTCTGCCTCGCCATTTGTGTTTTCCTACCACAACATAGGTGCCTCGACCTCCTCTTTCAAGACTTCCTGCTGACTGCGGCTGGCCCCAGTGGGTCCGAGGTGCTCTGTGGTTATGAACCAGGGATGCCCAGGGTCACCTGGGCCCCACGCATGCGCGGTGGAGTGGCACTTTCGCCCGTGGGTGGGGACCTCTGCGGCGCCATTTTGTTTTCCTTCCACTCCACTAGTGCCTCGAACTCCCTTTTCAGGACTTCCTGCCGCCTTGGGCTGGCCCCCGTGCACCAAGGCTCTCCGTGGGCGTGAACCAGTAATGCCCAGGGTCGCCTGGGACCCGCGACTGCGCGGTGGGGAGGCACTTACGTCCTTGTGCGGGGACCTCTGCCTGGCCGTTTCTGTTTTCCGTCCACAACACAGGTGCCTCAAACTCCCCTTTCAACCTTCCTTTCGCCTTGGGCTGGCCCCTGTGGGAAAGGGGTCCTCCGTGTGCATGAACCAGGGATGCTCAGGTTTCCCTAGGCCCCACGCATGTACGGTGGGGAGGCAATTTCTTCACGGGGGGCGAACATCTGTCTCGCCATTTGTGTTTCCTTCCACAACCCATGTGAATCGACCTACCCTTTCAAGCATTCCTACAGCCTTGACCTGGCCACCGCAGGCCCAAGGCGCTCTGTGGGTGTGAACCAGGGATGCCCAGGGTCCCCTGGGTCCTGCACATGTGCGGTGGGCAGGCATCTTCACCTGTGGTGGGTGACCTCTGCCTCGCCGTTTGTGTTTTCCTTCCACAACACATGTGACTCGACCTCCCTTTTCAAGCCTTCCTGCCGCCTTGGGCTGGCCCCTGTGTTCTCAGGCTCTCCATGGGCATGAACCAGGCACACCAAGGGTCCCCTGGGCCTTGTGCATGTGCGGTGGGGAGGCATTTTCTCCCGTGGTGGGGAACTTCTGCCACGCCATTTGTGTTTTCCTTCCACACCACAGGTGCCTCAACCTCCCTATTCAAGCCTTCCTGCCACCTTTGGCTGGCTCCTGTGGGCCCGATGTGCTCTGTGGGTGAGAAGCAGGGATGCCAAGAGTCTGCTGGACCCTGTGCATACGCGGTGCAGAGGCATTTTCGCCCATGGGTGGGGGGGGGCCTCTGCCTCACCGTTTGTGTTTTCCTTCCACAACACAGGTGCCTTGACTTCCCCTTTCAAGCCTTCCTGCCGCATTGGGGTGGCCCCTATGGGCCGAGGCGCTTGGGTCCCATGCATGCGCGGTAGATAGGCACTTTTGCCCTTGGTGGGGGACTTCTCTCTTGCCATTTGTGTTATCCTTCCACGACACAGACGTCTTGACCTCCTTTTTTAAGCCTTTCTGCCGCCTTGGGCTGGCTCCTGTGGGCCCGAGGCACTCTGTGGGCACAAACCAGGGAAGCCCAGGGTCCCCTGGGCCCTGCCCATGGGCGGTAGAGAGGGACTTTCTCACATTGAGGGGGAACTTTGACGCGTGGTTTGTTTTCTTTCCACAACACAGGGGCCTCGACCTCCCCTTCCAAGCCTTCCTGCCACCTTGGGCTTGCTCCCATGGACCCAAGGCACTCCATGGGTGCGAACCAGGGACGCCCAGGGTCCCCTGGGCCCTGCGCATTCGCAGTGGGCAGGAACTTTCGCCCGTGGGGTGGGACCTCTGCCACGCCGTTTCTGTTTTCCTGCCACAACACAGGTGCCTTGACTTTCCCTTTCAAGCCTTCCTGCCGCCTTTGGCTGGCCCCTGTGTGCCCCAGGAGCTCTGAGGGCGCAAACCAGGGATTCCCAGGGTCCTCTGGGCCCTGCAGATGCACAGTGGGGAGGCAATTTTGCCCGTGGTGTGGTCTATGCCTCGCCATTTGTGTTTTCCTTCCACAACACAGGTGCCTCGACATCCCCTTTCAAGCCTTCCTGCCGCCTTGCTGGCCTCCGTGGGCCCAAGGTGCTCTGTGGACATGAACTAGGGATGCCCTTGGTACCCTGGGCCCTGTGCATGTGCGGTGTGGAGGCACTTTCACCCCTGCGGGGGGGACCTCTGCATCGCCCTTTGTGTTTTCCTTCCACCACACAGGTGCCTGGACGACACTTTTCAAGCCCTGCTGCCGCCTTGGGGTGGCCCTCGTGGGCCCCAGTTGCTCCTTGAGCATGACCCAGGGATGCCCAAAGTCCCCAGGGCTCCATGCATGCACGGTGGGGAGGCACGTTCGCCCTTGGGGGGAACTTCTGCCGCACAGTTTTTGTTTTTATTCCACAACACAGTTGCCTCGACTTCCCCTTTCAAGCCTTCCTGTCAACTTAGGCTGGCCCCTGTGGGCCCAAGGCTCTCTGTGGGCACGAACCAGGGAAACCCAGGTTCCCTGGGCCCTGCGCATGCCCAGTGGGGCGGCAATTTCATCGACAGGGGGCCCTCTGTCTCGCCGTTTGTGTTTGCCTTCCACAACACAGGTGAATCGACCTCCCCTTTCAACTGTCCTACCGCCTTGGCCTGGCACCCGCGGGCAGGACCGAGGCGCTCCGTGGACGTGAATCAGGTATGCCCAGGGTCCCCTGGGCCCCGCACATGAGCTGTGGGGAGGCATTTTCCCCCGTGGTGGGGGGACCTCTGCCTTGCCATTTGTTTTCCTTCCACAATACAAGGGCTTCGACCTCCCTTTTCAAGCCTTCCTGTCTCCTTGGGCTGGCCCCATGGGGCCGAGGCTCTCAGTGGGCGCCAACCAGGGACAGCCAGGGTTCCCTGGGCCCTGTGCATGCGTGGTGCGGAGACACTTTCGCCCTTGGTGCGGGACTTCTGCCTCGTCCTTTGTGTTATCCTTCCACAACACAGGTACCTTGACCTCCCCTTTCAAGCCTTCCTGACTCCTTGGGCTTGCTTCTATGCCCCCGAGGTGCTCTGTGGGTGTGAATCAGGGACCCCCGGGTCCCGTGAGCCCTGCGCATGCACGGTGGGGAGACACTTTAGCCCGTGGGTGTGGACTTCTACCTTGCCGTTTGTCTTTTTCTTCCACAACATAGGTGCCTCGACCTCCCCTTTCAAGACTTCCTGGCGCCTTGGGCTGGCACCCGTGGGCCCAAGGCACTCCCTGGGCACCAACCAGGGACACCCAGGTTCCCCTGGGCCCTGCACATGCGCGATGGGGAGGCACTTTCGCCCATGTTGTGTGACCTCTGCCTCGCTGTTTGTGTTTTCCTTCCACAACACAGGTGCCTCGACCTCCCCTTTCAAGCCTTCCTGAGGACTTGGACTGGACCCTGCGGGCCAAGGCCCTTCGTGGGCATGAACCAGGGTTGCCCAGGGTCCCCTGGGCCCCGCGAATGCGCGGTGCGGTGGCACTTTCGCCCTTGTGGTGGGACTACTGCTAGGCCGTTTCTGTTTTCCTTCCACAACACAGGTGTCTCGACCTCCCCTTTCAAGTTTCCTGCCGCCTTGGGCTGGCCCCTTGTGGACCCAAGGCGCTCCGTGACCATGAACCAAGAATGCCCAGGGTCCCCTGGGCAACACGCATGCGCAGTGGGGAGGCACTTACGCCCATGGTGTGGGACCTCTGCCGCGCCGTTTGTTTTCCTTCCACAACACAGGTGAATCGACCTCCCCTTTCAAGCCTTCCTGCCGCCTTGGGCTGAACCCCGTGGGCCCAAGGAGCCCCATTGTTGTGAACCAGGGACATCTAGGGTCCCTTGGGCCCCACGCATGCATGGCGGGGTGGGAATTTTGCCTGTGGGGGTGGGGGTGGGGGTGGGGAACTCTGCCTCACCGTTTCTGTTTTACTTCCACAACACAGTTGCCTCGACCTCCCCTTTCAAGCATTCCTACCGTCTTGGGCTGGCTCCCATGTCCCTGAGGCTCTCTGTGGGCATGAACCACGGATGACAGGGTACCCTGAGCACTGCGCATGCTTGGTTGGGAATTACTTTTGCTTGTGGGGCGGGACCTCTGCCTCGCCGTTTGTGTTTCCCTTCCACATCACAGGCGCCTTGACCTCCCCTTTCAGGTTTTCCTGCGGCCTTGGGCTGGCCCCTGTGGGAATAGGCCCTCTGTGGGCATGAACGAGGGATGCCCAGGGTCGCCTGGGCCCCACGCATGTGAGGTGGGGATACACTTTCGCTCGTTGGGGGGACCTCTCACATGCCATTTGTGTTTTTCTTCCACACCACAGGTGTCTCCACCTCCCGTTTCAAGACTTCCTGCCACCTTGGGCTTGTCCCCATGGGCCTAGGCACTCGTTGGGCACGTGCTAGGGATGCCCAGTGTCCCCTGGGCTGCGTGTATGCGCGATGGGGAGGCACTTTTGTCTGTGGGGGGGACCTCTGCCGCATTGTTTGTGTTTTCCTTCCACTCAAAGGGTGCCTGGACCTCCACATTCAAGACTTCCTGTCGCCTTCAGCTGGCCCCCGTGGGACTGGGTCGCTCCTTGAGCACAAATGAGGGACGCCCAGGGTACCCTGGGCCCCATGCATGCGCTGTGGTGAGGCACTTTTGCCCTTGGTGGGGACCTTCTGCCTGGCCGTTTGTGTTACCCTTCCACAAAACAGGTGCCTCGAGCTCCCTTTTGAAGCCTTTCTGCCACTTTGGGCTAGCCCCCGTGGGCCCCAGGCGCTCTGTGGGCGTGAACCAGGGACGCCCAGTGTCCTCTGGGCCTCGTGCATGCACGGTGGTGAGACACTTTCGCCCATGGGTGTGGATCTCTGCCGCGCCGTTTGTCTTCCACACCACGGGTGCCTCAACCTCCCCTTTCAAGAGTTCCTGCCACCTTGGGCTGGTCCCTGTGGGCCTAGGCACTCGTTATGCACAAGCCAGGGACGCCCAGGGTCCCCTGGTCCCCAGGCATGCGTTATGGGGAGGCACTTTCGCCCATGGGGGGGACCTCTGCCATTTAGTTTGTGTTTTCCTTTCACACCACAGCTGCCTCGACCTCTGTTTTCAAGCCTTCCTGCCGCCTTGGGCTGGCACATGTGGGCTGGAGCCACTTTGTGGGCACGAATCAGGGATGCCTTGCATCCCCTGGGCCCTGCGTATGCGCGGTGGGGAGGCCCTTTCGCCCCTGTGCGGTGACCTCTCCCTCACTGTTTGTGTTTTCCTTCTACAACACAGATGCTTCGACCTCCCCTTTCAAGCCTTCCTGCCGCCTTGGGCTGGCACCAGTAGGCCCGAGGCACTTCCTGGGCACCAACCAGGTTGCACAGGATGACAAGGGTCCTGCACATACGCTGTGGGGACTCACTTTCGTCCGTGGAGGGGACCTCTGCCTCACCATTTGTGTTTTTCTTCCACAACACAGGTGCCTCGACCTCCCCTTTCAAGCCTTCCTGCCACCTTAGGCTGGCCCCTGTGGGGTCGATGCACTCGCTGGGCACCAACCAGGATGCACAGGGTGACGAGGGCCCTGCGCATGCGCAGTGGGGATGCACTTCTGCCCGTGGAGGGACCTCTGCCTCGCTGTTTGTGTTTTCCTTTCACAACATAGGTGCCTCAACCTCCCCTTTCAAGCCTCCCTGCCATCTTAGGCTGGCACCTGTGGGTCCTTGGTGCTCCGTGGGTATGAACAGGGGACACCCAGGGTCCCCAGCGCCCCACGCGTGTGCCTTGGGGAGGCAATTTCGCCCTTGGGGCGGTATCTCTGCCACGCCGTTTGTGTTTTCCTTCCACGACACAGGTGTCTCGACCTCCACTTTGAAGGCCTCCTGCCGCCTTGGGCTGGCTCCTGTGGGCTCGAGGCGCTCCGTGTGCATGAACCAGGGACACCCAGGGTCCCCAGGCCCCATGCATGCGTGGTGGGGAAGCACTTTTGCCCGTGGGGTGGGACCCCTGCCAGGCCGTTTCTGTTTTCCTTCCACAACACAGGTGACTCGATCTCCATTTTCAAGTGTCCTGCCGCCTTGAGCTGGCCCCCATGGACCCAAGGTGCTCTGCGGGCATGAACCAGGGATGCCCAGGGTCCCCTGGGCCACACGCATGCTCGGTGGGGAAGCATTATCGCCCTTGTGTGGGGAGCTCACTCTCGCCATTTGTTTTCCTTCCAAAACACAGGTGACTCGACCTCCCATTTCAAGCCTTCCTGCCGCCTTGAGCTGGCACCTGTGGGCTCGAGGCACTCTGTGGGTGTGAACCAGGGAAGCCTAGCGTCCCCTGGGCCACCTGCATGCATGGTGGGTAGGCACTTTCGCCCGTGTTGGGGGACGTCTGCGTCACCGTTTGTGTTTTCCTTCCACAACTAGGACAAACCCTTTCAAGCCTTCCTGCAGCCTTGAGCTGGCCCCGTGGGCTGGAGGTGCTCCAAGGGTGCGGACCAAAGATGCACAGGAGACTCTCCTGGGGTCCGTGCATGTGTGGTGAGGAGGCACTTCTTGCCAATGGGTGGAGACCTCTGCCGCACCATTTGTTTTTCCTTCCACACCACGGTGCCTCGAACTCCCATTTCAAGCCTTCCTGCCACCTTGGGCTGGCCCCCATGGGTGGAGGCACTCTGTGGGCACGAACTAGGGATGACCAGTGTCCCCTGGGCCATGAGCATGTGCGGTGGGGAAGCACTTTTGCCTGTGGTGGGGGACCTCTACCGCACAGTTTGTTTTCCTTCCATACCACAGGTGCCTTGACCTCCCCATTCAAGGCATCCTGCCGCCTTCGGATGGCCCCTGTTAGCCAAGACGCCCCATGGGTATGAATCAGGGATGCCCAGGGTCCCCTGGGCCCCTCGCATGTGCGGTGGGGAGACACTTTCTCCCTTGGGGGGACCTCTGACTTGCCGTTTTTGTTTTCCTTCCACAACACAGGTGCCTCGACCTCCCCTTCCCAGTCTTCCTGTCACCTTGGGCTGGCCCCCGAGGGCCCAAGGCACTATGAGAGCACAAACCAGGGATGCCCAGGGTCTCCTGGGCCCCACGCATGCATGGTAGGGAGGCACTTTTGCCCATAGTTTGGGACCTCTGCTGTACCTTTTCCGTTTTCCTTCCACAACACAGGTTCCTCGACCTCTGCTTTCAAGCCTTCCTGCCGCCTTGGGCTGGCCACCGTGGGCCCGAGGCACTCCGTGGGCATGAACCACGGACACCCAGGGTCGCCTGGCCCCATGCATCTGCGGTGGGGAGGCACTTTGGCCCATGGAAGAGACCTCTGCCTCACCATTTGTTTTCCTTCCACACCACAGGTGACTTGACCTCCTCTTTCAAGACTTCCTGCCACCTTGAGCTGGTCCCCGTATGCCCAGGCACTCCTTAGGCATGAGCCAGGGACACCCAGGGTCCCCATGGCTCCGTGAGTGTGTGATGAGGAGGCACTTTCGCCCATAGGGGGACCTCTGTCACGTTGTTTTTGTTTTCCTTCCACACCACGGGTGCCTCGACCTCCCCTTTCAAGCCTCCCTGCTGCTGTGGGCTGACCCCGTGGGCCTGACGCCCTCCATGGGCGTGAACCAGGGACTCCCAGTGTCCCCTGGGCTCCACGCATGTGCGGTGGGGAGACCCTTTCGGCCGTGTTTGTGGACCTCTGCCGCATCGCTTGTGTTTTTCTTCCCCAACACAGGTGCCTCCACCTCACATTTCAAGCATTCCTGCCGCCTTGGGCTGGCACCCGTGGACCTGAGGCACTCCCTGGGCACCAATCAGGGACATACAGGGTCCTCTTTGCCCCATGCATGCACGGTAGGTAGGCAATTTCGCCCGTAGGAAGGGACCTCTGTCTCACCCTTTGCGTTTTCCTTCCACAACACAGGTGCCTCGACCTCCCCTTTCTAGCCTTCCTGCAGCCTTGGGCTGTCCTGCATGTGATGAGGTGCTCCATGGGTATGAATCAGGGACGCCCAGGGTCCACTGATCCCTGGGCCTGCATGGTGGGGGGCACTTTCGCCCTTGGGGGGGACCTCTGCCACGCCGTTTATGTTTTCCTTCCACACCACAGGTGCCTCGACCTCCCATTTCAAGCCTTCCTGCTGCCTTGGGCTGGACCCCGTGAGCAGAGGTGCTCTGTGGTCATGAACCAGGGATGCCCAGGGTCATATGGGCCCCATGCATGTGTGGTGGGTAGGCACTTTCGCCCATGAGGGGGGACCTTTGCCTCGCCGTTTGTGTTTTCTTTCTACAGCACAGGTGCCTCTACCTCCCATTTCAAGCATTCCTGCCGCCTTTGGCTGGCCCCCATAGGCTGAGGCCCTCCTTTGACGTGAACCAGGGATGCCCAGGGTTCCCTGGGTCCCCTGCATGCACGGTTGGGAGGCACTTTCGCCCGTGGGGTGGAAACCTCTGCCACACCATTTGTGTTTTCCTTCCACACCACAGGTGCCTCATCTTCCCTTTCAAGCCTTCCTGCCACCGTGGGCTGGCCCCCATGGGCCTGCGGTTCTCTGTGGGCATGAAGCAGGGCTGCCCAGGGTCCCTTGGGCCCCATGCATGCACGGTGGGGAGGAACTTTCGCCTTTGGGGGGACCTGTGCCTCGCGTTTGTGTTTTCCTTCCATAACACAGGTGCCTCGACCTCCTCTTTCAAGGCTTCCATCTTCCTTGTGTTGGTCCCCTTGAGCCATGAGCACTCCATGGGTGTGAAGCTGGCATGCCCAGGGTCCCCTGGGCCCCACGCATGTGCGGTAGGGCAGCAATTTCGCCCGTGGTGGGTGACCTCTGCCTCACCATTTGTATTTTCCTTCCACACCACAGGTGCCTCGACCTCTCATTTCAAGACTTCCTGCTGCCTTGGGCTGACCCTCGTGGGCCTAGGAGCTCCATGTCATGAACCAGGGATGCCCGGGGTCCCCTGGACCCTGGGCATGCATGGTGGTGAGCCATTTTCTCCCCTGACGGGGGCACCTCTGCTTCGCCATTTGTTTTCCTTCCACAACACAGGTGACTGGACCTCCCCTTTGAAGTCGTCCTGCCGCCTTGGGCTGGCCCTCATGGGCCCGAGGCCCTCGTGGGCATGAACCAGGGATTCCTAGGGTCCCCTGGGCCCTCCACATGTGCGGTGGGGAGGCTCTTTCACCCGTGGGGAAGACTTCTGCCACACCGTTTGTGTTTTCCTTCCACACCACAGGCTCCTCGACCTCCCCTTTCAAGACTTCCTGTTGCCTTGGGCTGGCCTCTGTGGGCCAAGGATCTCCGTGTGCGTGAACCAGGGACGTCCAAGATCCCTTGGGCCCTGCCCATGCGTGGCGGGGAGGCACTTTAACCCGTGAGAGGGGGACCTCTGCCTCGTTTGTGTTTTCCTTCCACAACACAGGTGCTTGGACCTCCCCTTTCAAGACTTCCTGCTGCCTTGGGCTGGACCCCATGGGCCGAGACTCTCCATGGGCACAAACCGGGGATGCCCAGGGTCCCCTGGGCCCTGCTTATGCCCGGTGGGGAGGCACTTTTTCCCGTGGCGGGGGGGTGGGGAACCCCTGCTTCGCCGTTTGTGTTTTCTTTCCACACCACAGGTGCCTCGACCTCCCATTTCAAGCCTTCCTGCCGCCTTGGGCTGGCCCCCGTGGGCCTGAGGTGCTCCATGGGTGGGAGTGGGGAGCACTTTCGCCCGTGGGGGGGACCTCTGCTTCCCCGTTTGTGTTTTCATTCCATAACACAGGTGCCTCGACCTCCCCTTTCAAGCCTTCCAGCCGCATAGGGATGGCCTCCGTGGGACCGAGGCACTCCGTAGCCATGAAACAGGGATGCCCAGGGTCCACTGGGTCCCACGCATGCACAGCGGGGAGGGACTGCCGCCTGCCGGAGGGGGAACTCTGCCGCGCTGTTTCTGTTTTCCTTCCACAGCACAAGGTGCCTCGACCTCCCTTTTCAAGCCTTACTGCCGCCTTGGGTTGGGCCCCATGGGCCGGAGGCTCTCTGTGGGCATGAGCAAGGGATGCACAGGTTCCCCTAGGTCCCACACATGCGTGGCGGAGAGGCACTTTCGCCCATGGGATGGGAACTTTGCCTCACCGTTTGTGTTTCCCTTCCACGCCACAGGTACCTTGACCTCCCCTTTCAAGCCTTCCTGCCGCCTTGGTCTGGCCCCCGTGTAAGAATGCGATTCATGGTTGCGATTCAGGGGCCCTCAGGGACCCCTGGGGCCCGCGTTTGCACGGTGAGGAGGCACTTTTGCCCGTCGTGGGGACCTCTGCTGGGCTGTTTGCTTTTTTCCAAATCACTGGTGCCTCGACCTCCCCTTTCAAGGCTTCTTGCCACCTTGGGCTGGTCCCCATAGGCCAAAGCCTTCCGTGGGAGTGAAGCAGGGACGCCCAGGGTCCCCTGGCCCCATCCATGTGCGGTGGGGAGGCACTTTCGTCCGTGGGAAGGGACCTCTGCCTCACCGGTTGTGTTTTCCTTCTGCAACACAGGTGTCTCGACCTCCCTTTTCAAGCCTTCCTGCCGCTTTGGGCTGGACCCTGTGATCCCGAAGCGCTTCGTGGGCAAAAACCGGTGATGCCCAGGTTCCCCTGGGTCCCACGCATGTGCGATGTGGAGGCACTTTCGCCCGTGAGGGGGACCTCTGCCTCGCCATTTGTGATTTTTCTTCCACAACACAGGTGCCTCGACCACCCCTTTCAAGCCTTCCTGCAGCCTTGGCCTGGCCCCATGTGTGTAGGTGCTCCATGGGCACTAACCAGGGATGCCCAGGGTTCCCTGGGCTCTGCACTTGAGCAGTGGGGAGGCAGTTTCCCCTTGGGGGAACCTCTGCTGCGTTACTTGTGTTTTCCTTCCGCACCACAGGTGTCTCCACCTCACCTTTCAAGAGTTCCTGCCGCCTTGGGCTGGCCTCCTTGGGCCCAGGCGCTCCATGACTGTGAACCTGGGATGCCAAGGGTCCCTTGGACCCCACCCATGTGTGGTAGAGAGGGATTTTCGCCAGTGGGGTGAACTCTGCCTCACTGTTTGTGTTTTCCTTCCACTCCACAGGTGCCTCGACCTCCCCTTCAAGTCTTCCTGCCACTGGGGCTGACCCCCGTGGGACCGAGACTCTCCGTGTGCATGAAACAGGGGTGCCCAGTGTCCCGTGGGCTCTGCACATGCGCGGTGGGGAGGCACTTTCGCCCGTGAGCGGGGACTTCTTCCTTGCAGTTTGTGTTATCCTTCCACAACATACGTGCCTCAATCTTCCCTTTTCAAGCCTTCCTGCCTCCTTGTGCTGGCCCCTGTAGGCTGAGACACTCTGCGGGCCTGAACCAGGGATGCCCAGGGTCCTCTGGTGGAGAGGCACTTTCGCCTGTGGGGGGTACCACTGCTGCGCTGTTTGTATTTTCCTTTGACAGAACAGGTGCCTCAACTGCCCCTTTCAAGACTTCCTGTTGCCCTGGGCTGGCCCCTGTGGGCCGAGGCCCTCAGTGGGCACATACCAGGGACACCAAGGGTACCCTGGGCACTGCTCTTGCACGGTGGGGAGGTACTTTTGTCCATGTGGTGATCCTCTACTGCGCAGTCTGTGTTTTCCTTCCATACCACAGGTGATTCGACATCCCCTTTCAAGCTTTATTTCCGCCTTGGGCTGGCCCCCATAGGCCTGAGGCACTCCGTGGGCGTGATCCACGGAAGCCCACGGTTCCCTGGGCCCCACTCATGCGCGGTGGGGAGGCACTTTCTCCCATGGGGGGTCCTCTGCTGTGCCACTTCTGTTTTCCTTCCACACCACAGGTAAATCGAGCTCCCATTTCAATCTTTCCTGTCTCCTTGGGCTGGCCCCCGTGGGCCAAGGCACTCCATGGCCACAAACCAGGAAAATCCCGGGTCCCCTGGGACTTCGTCATGCACAGTGAGGAGGCGCAGTCACCCCTTGGGAAGGACCTCTGCCTCAGCATTTGTGTTTTCCTTCCACACAACAGGTGCCTTGACCTCCACTTTCAAGACTTCCTTCTGCCTTGGGCTGGCCCCCGTTGGCCAAGGTGCTCCATGGCCCTGAACCAGCGACGCCCAGGGTCCCCTGGGCCTCACGAATGCGCGGTGGGGAGGCACTTTCATTCGTGGGGGGTACCTCTGCCTCGCCGTTTCTGTTTTCCTTCCACATCACAGGTGCCTCGATCTCCCCTTTCAAGAGTTCATGCCACTTGGGCTGACCTCTAAGGGCCAGAGATGCTTCGTGGGCATGAAGTAGGGATGCTCAGGGTCCCCTGGGCCACACGCATGTGCAGTGGTGTGGCACTTTCTCCCGTGGGGGGGGGACCTTTGCCCAGCCTTTTGTGTTTTCCTTCCACAACACAGATGCCTCGAGCTCCCCTTTCAGGCATTCCTGCTGCCTGGGGCTGGCCCCCGTGGGCTGAGGCCCTCTTTCGGCATGAACTAGGGATGCCCAGGGTCCCCTGAGCCCCACGCATGCGCTGTGGGGAGGCACTTTCGACCGTGGTGGGGCACTCTACCGCACCATTTGTGTTTTCCTTCAACACAATAGGTGCCTTGACCTCCCCTTTCAAGATGTCCTGCCGCCTTGGGCTGGCCCCTCTGGGCTGAGGCACTCAGTGCATGTGAAACATGGTTGCCCAGAGTCCCCTGATCCCAGCGTATGAGAGGTGGGGAGGCACTTTCGCTCGTTGGGTGGTCCTCTGCCCTGCAGTTTGTTTTCCGTCCACACCACAGTTGCTTTGACTTCCCCTTTCAAGCCTTCCTGCTGCCTTGGACTGGCCCCTGTGGACCTGAGGCGCTCCGTGGGCCTGATCCAGAGAAGCCCAGGATCCCTTGGGCCCTACGCATGCATGGTGGGGAGGCACTTTCGCCTGTGGGGAGAGAAATTTGCCTCGCTGTTTGTTTCCCTTCCACACCACAGGTGCCTCGACCTTCCATTTCAAGCCTTCCTGCCCCCTTCGACTGGTTCCTGAGGGCCGAGGTGCTCCATGGGTGGGAACTAGGATGGCCTCGGTCCCCTGGGCCCCACGCATGTGTGGTGGGGAGACACTTTTGCCCGTGGTGGGGGACCTTTGCCTCGCCATTTGTTTTCCTTCCACAGCGGGTGCCTCGACCTCCCCTTTCAAGCCCTCCTGCCGCCTTGGCCTGGCCCCCGTGTGCCAAGGTGCTTCATGGTCATGAACCAGGGGACATCAGCGTCCCCTGGGGTCCACACATGCGCGGTGAGTAGAGACTTTCGCTGTGTGGTGGGGGTCCTCTGCCACACCACTTCTGTTTTCCTTCGACAGCACAGGTGAATCCATCTCCCATTTCAAGCCTTCCTGCCGCTTTGGGCTGGCCCCTGTGGGCCGAGGTCCTCTGTGGGTGTGAACCAGGGATGCCAAGGGTCCCCTGGGCCATGGGCATGCGTGGTTGGGGGGTCACAATCACCCGTAGGGGGAGACTTCTGCCTCGCCGTTTGTTTTCCTTCCACACAACAGGTGCCTCGACCTCCTCTTTCAAGACTTCCTGAAGCCTTGGGCTGGCCCCCGTTGGCCGAGGCACTCTGTGGGCCTGATCCAGGGATGCCCAGGTTCCCCTGGGCCCCAAGCCTGCACGATGAGGAGGCACTTTCGCCTGTGGGGGGAGGACCTCTGCCTCGCCGTTTGTGTTTTCCTTCCACACCAAAGGTGCCTGGAACTCCCCTTTCAAGCCTTCCTGTTGACTTGGGCTGGTCCCCGTAGGCCGAGATCCTTGGTGGCTGTGAAGCAGGGACATCCAGTGTCCCCTAGGACCCATGCATGAGTGGTGGGATGGCACTTTCATGCGTGGTGGGGGGGATCTCTGCCACGCCACGTGTGTTTTCCTTCCACACCATAGGTGCCTAGACCACCACTTTCAAGCATTCCTGCAAACTTGGGCTGGCCCTCGTATGCCGAGGCACTTTGTGGTCACAAACCAGGGGCCCCACACATGTGCGGTGAGTATGCACTTTCACCCATGGTGGGGGACCTCTGCTGCACTGCTTCTGTTTTTTTCCCACAACACGGGTGCCTCAACTGTCCCTTTCAAGCCTTCTTGCCTCTTTGGGCTGGCTCCCTTGGGCCAAGGCCCTCTGTGTGAGCAAAGCAGGAATGCCCAGGGTCCCCTCAGCCCAACGCATGTGCGGTGGGGAGGCACTTTCGCCCGTGGGGGGGACTTCCGCCCTACCATTTGTGTTTTTGTTCCCCAACACAGGTGCCTCAACCACCCCTTTCAAGACTCCTTGCTGTCTTCGGCTGGCCCCAGTGGGTCTGAGGCGCTCTGTGGGTGCAAACCAGGGACACCCAGCTTAACCTGGGCCCTGCACATGCTCGATGGGGAGGCACTTTCGCTTGTGGGGGGTTTTCGGCCATGTCATTTCTGTTTTCTTTTCACACCACAGGTGCCTCGACCTCCCCTTTCAAGACTTCCTGACCCCCGTGGGCCCCACGCACTCTGTGGGCATGACCCAGGGATGCTCAGGGTGCCCTGGGCCCCATGCATGTGGCATGGGGAGGCACTTTCACCCGTGGTGGGAGGACTTCTGCCTCGCCACTTCTGTTTATCTTCCACAACACAGGTGCCTCGACCTCCTCTTTCAAGTTTTCCTGCCGCCTTTGACTGACCCCTGTGGGGCCCACGCTCTCCATGGGCACAAACCAGGGACCCCCAGGTTCCCCTGGGCCTGTGCATGGAGGCACTTTCGCCCGTGGTGGAGGACCTCTGCCCCACTGTTTGTGTTTTCCTTCCACAACACATGTGCTTCGACCTCCCCTTTCAACAATTCCTGATGCCTTGGGCTGCCCCCTGTGGCCCTGAGGTGCTCCATGGTCATGAACCAGGGACCCCCAGGGTCCCCTGCGCCCAGCGCATGCACAGTGGGGAGGCACTTTTGCCCGTGGAGGGGACCTCTGTAGTGCCGTTTCTGTTTTTTTTTCCACAACACAGGTCCATCTATCTGCCTTTTCAATCTTCCTGCCGCCTTGGGCTGGCCCCCATGGGCCCCAGGCACTCAGAAGGTGTGATCCAGGGATGCCCAGGGTCCCCTGGGCCCTGTGCATGCGCAGTGGGGAGGCACTTCTGCCCGTGGGGGGGACCTCTGCCTCGCTGTTTGTGTATTCCTTCCACAGCACAGGTGCCTTGACTTCCCATTTCAAGCCTTCCTGCCACCTTGGACAGGCCCCCTTGTCTGAGGCACTCTGTGGGTGTGAATCAGGGATGCCCAGTGTCCCCTGGGCCCCATGCATGCATGGTGGGGGTCATTTTTGCCAGTGTTGGGGCACCTCGGCCTTGCCATTTGTGTTTTCCTTCCACAACACAGGTGCATAGACCTCCCCTTTCAAGCCTTCCTGCCACCTTGGGCTGGCCCCTGTGGACCGAGGCTCTCTGCAGGCATGAACCACGGATGTCCAGGGCCTGCGATGTGGAAGGAAAACACAAATGGTGAGGCAGATTTCCCCCCCAACGGGCGACAATGCCTCCCCACCGTGCATGCCTGGGGCCCAGGAGACCCTGGGAGACCCTGGTTTGTGCCCTAAGATGGCCTTGACCCACGGAGGCCAGCCCAAGGCAGCAGGAAGGCTTGAAATGGGAGGTCGAGGCACCTGTGGTGTGGAAGGAAAACACAAATGGCATGGCAGAGGTCCCCCCCAACGGGTGAAAGTGCCTACCCACCACACATGCGCGAGGCCGAGGGGACCCTGGGCATCCTTGGTTTGCTCCACGGAGTGCCTCGGGCCCACAGGGGCCAGCCCAAGGCAACAGGAAAGCTTGAAAGGGAGATCGAGGCAACTGTGTTGTGGAAGGAAAACAGAAACAGCACGGCAGAGGTTGCCACCCATGGGCAAGAGTGCCTCCCCACCATGCATGCACGGGGCCCAGGGGACCTTGGGCATCTCTGGTTCATGCTCACATAAAGCCTCAGGCCCACGGAGGCCAGCCCAAGGTGTCGGGAAGGTATTAAATGGGAGGTCGAGGAATCAGTGTTGTGGAAGGAAAACACCAACGGCGAGGCAGAGTTCCCCTCCACGGGAGAAAGTGCCTCCCCACTGCGCATGCGTGAGGTCCAGGGGACCCTGGGTGTGCCTGGCATTTGTCCACAGAGCACCTTAGGAAAACGGAGGCCAGCTTAAGGCATCAGGAAGGTTTGAAAGGGGAGGTCAAAACACCTGTGTTGTGGAAGGAAATCACAAACAGCAAGGCAGAGTCCCCCCCCCGACAGGGGAAAGTGCCTCCCTACCACGCATGCGTGGACCCCAGGGGACGCAGGGCTTCCCTGGTTTGTGCCCACGGAGAGCCTTGGGCCCATGGGGGCCAGCCAAAGGTGGCAGGAGTTCTTGAAAGGGGAGGTCAAGGCACCTGTATTGTGGAAGGAAAACACAAACAGTGAGGCAGAGGTCCCCTCCACGGTAGAAAGTGCCTTCCAACCGCGAATGCACATGGCCCAGGGGACCCTGGGCATCCCTGATTTGTGCCCAGGGAGCACCTCGGGCCCATGTGTGCCAGCCCAAGTCGGCAGGGAGACTTGAAAAGGGAGGTCGATGCACCTGTGTTGTGGAAGGAAAACATAAATGGCGCAGCAGAAGTCCCCCACGGGCGAAAATGCCTCCCCATTGTGCATGCATGGGGCCCAGGGGACCTGTGGGTCCCTGCATTGTGCCCACTGAGTGCTTCGGCCCATGGGGGCCAGCCCAATGAGGCAGGAATGCTTGAAAGGGGCGGTCGAGGCAACTGTGTTGTGGAAGGAAAACACAAATGGCGTGGCAGAGGTCCCGCCCCACAGGCGAAAGTGCCTCCCCACCATGCATACGTGGGGCCCAGGGGATCCTGAGCATCCCTGGTTCATGCCCATGGAGTGCCTCACACCCACAGGGGCCAGCCCAAGGTGGCAAGATGTCTTGAAAGGGAAAGTCGAGGCACCTGTGGTGTGGAAGGAAAACACAAATGGCAGGGAATAGGTCCCCCAACATGGGCGAAAGTGCCTCCCCACCATGCATGCATGGACCCGGTGATCCTGAGCATCCTGTGTTTGCACCTACAATGCACCTCGGCCATGGGAGCCAGCACAAGGTGGCAAGAAGGCTTGAAAGAGGAGGTTGAGGCACCTGTGTTGTGGAAGGAAAACACAAACGGTGAGGCAAATATTCCCCCCCAGAGCGCAAGTGCCTCCCAACCACGCATGCAGGGGCCCAGGGGAACCTGGGCATCACTGATTCATGCCCATGGAGCACCTTAGGCCCACGGGGTCCAGGCTAAGGCAGCAGGAAATCTTGAAAGGGGAGGTCGAGACACCTGTGTTGTAGAAGGAAAACACAAATGGCGAGGCAGAGTTTCCTCCTCACTGGCGAAAGTGCCTCCCCACTGTGCATGCGTGGGGCCCAGGGGACACTAGGCATCCCTGGTTCACACCTACGGAGTGTCTCAGGCCAACAGCGGTCAGACCAAGGCGGCAGAAAAGATTGAAAAGGGAGGTCGAGGCACCTGTATTGTGGAAGGAAAATACAAATGGCAAGGTAGAGTTCCCCCACCAATGGGAGAAAGTGCCTCCACAGCAGGCATTCATGGGGCCCAGGACACCCTGGGCATCCCTGGCTCATGCACATGGAGTGCCTCGGCCCACGGGGGCCAGCCGAAGACAGCAGGAAGGCTTGAAAGTGGAGGTCGAGGCACAGTGGCGTGGAAGGAAAAAACAAATGGCATGGCAGAAGTGCCTCCCCACGGCCGAAAGTGCCTCCCCACTGCACATGCATGGGGACCAGGGGACCTTGGGCATCTCTGATTTGCACCCACAGAGCGCCTCAATCCCATGGGGGCCAGCCCGAAGTGGAAGGAAGGCTTGAAATGAGAGGTCGAGGCACCTGTGGTGTTGAAGGAAAACACAAATGGCGAGGCAGAGGTCTTCACCACGGGCACAGGTGCCTCCCCACCATGCATGCCCATGGCCCAGGGGACCCTGGGCATCCCTGGTTCATGCCCACAGAGTGCGTTGGGACCACAGGGGCCAGTTTAAGGCAGCAGGAAGGCTTGAAAGGGGAGGTCGAGGCACCTGTGTTGTGGAAGGGAAAAACAAACGGCAAGGCAGAGGTCCCCCCTCGACGGGTGAAAGTGCCTCCCCACCGCGCATGCGTGGGACTCAGGCGACCCCGGGGGTCCCTAGTTCATGCCCACGGAGTACCTTGGTCCACGTGGGCCAGCCCAAGGCGGCAGGAAGTCTTGAAATGGGAGGTCAAGGCAACTGTGGGGTGGAAGGAAAGCAAACTGCTCGTCAGAGATCCGCCCCCACGTGCGAAAGTGCCTCTCCACCGCGCATGCTCAGGGCCCAGAGGATTCTGGGCATCCCTGGATTGTACCCACGGAGTGCCTCGGCCCATGGGGGCCAGCCCAAAGCACCAGGAAGGCTTGAAAAGGAAGGCCAAAGCATCATGGTGTGGAAGGAAAAAAAACGGCGCGGCTGATGTCTCTCCCCTTGGCCGAAAGTGCCTCCCCACAGCATATGCGTGGCTCCCAGGGGACCCTGGGTATGGCTGGTTCATGCTCATGGAGTGTGTCGGCCCACAGGGGCCAGCCAAAGGCAGCAGGAAGGCTTGAAAGGGAATGTCGAGGCACCTGTGGTGTGAAGGAAAACGCAAATTGCACGGCAGAGGTACCCCTCCCATGGACGAAAGTGCCTCCCTACCTTGCATGCACGGGGCCCAGGGGACCATGGGCGTCTCTGGTTAGTGCCCACGGGGAGCCTCGGGCCCCACGGGGGCCAGCCCAAGTCGTCATGAAGGCTTGAAAGGGGAGGTTGAGGCACCTGTGTTGTCGAAGGAAAACAAACGGCAAGGCAGAGGTCCCCCCCACTGCCAAAAATGCCCCTCCACCATACATGCGTGCAGCCCAGGGGACCATGGACATCCCTGACTCGCACCCACAGGGGCCAGCTGAAGGCTTCTGGAAGGCTTGAAAGGGGAAGGTCGAGTCACCTGGGTTGTGGAAGGAAAACACAAACGGTGAGGCAGAGGTCCCCTCCATGGGCGAAAGTCCCTCCCCAGCGTGCATGTCCAGGGCCCAGAGGACACTGAGTGTCCCTGATTCCCACCCACGAAGTGCCTCCGTCCAACAAGGGCCAGCACAAGGCTGCAGGCAGGCTTGAAAGGGGAGGTCGAGGCACCTGTGGTGTGGAAGGAAAACACAAACGGCGAGGCAGGTCACCCCCACAGGCGAAAGTGCCTCCCCACCACACATGCTCAGGGCCCAGTGGACCGTGGGTGTCCCTGGTTCATGCCCTCGGAGCACCTCGGCCTACAGGGTCCAGCCCAAGGCGCGGGAAGACTTGAAAAGCGAGGTCAAGGAACTTGTGATGTTTAAGGAAAACATAAACGGCGCGGCAGAGGTCCCCCCCACGGGCGAAAGTGTCTTACCACCGCACATTCTAAGGGCTTTGGGGACCATGGACTTCTGTGGTTCACACCCATGGGGCGCCTCGGGTGCACAAGGGCCAGGCCAAGGCAGCAGGAAGATTTGAAACGGGAGGTCGAGGCAACTGTGCTGTGGAAGGAAAACACAAACGGCGAGGCAGAGGTCCCCACCATGGGAGAAAGTGCCTCCACACCACGCATGCGTGGGGCCCAGGAGATCCGGGCATCTCTGAATCGTGCTCAAGGGGTGCCTCGGGCCCACAGGGGCCAGCCCAAGGTGGCAGGAAGGCTTGAAAGGGGAGGTTGAGGCACCTGTGTTGTGGAAGAAACACACAAAAGGCAAGTCAGAGCTCCGACCCCAAGGGCGAAAGTGCCTCCCCACCGCGCAAGCATGGGACGCAGGGGACCCTGGGCATCCCTGGTTCACACCCATGGAGCACCTCGGGCCCACGGGGGCAGCCCAAGGCGGCAGAAAGTCTTGAAATGGGAGGTCGAGGCTCCTGTGTTGTGGAAGGAAATCAGAAACCGTGCAGCAGAGGTCCCTCCACGGGCGAAAGTGCCACCCCACCATGCATGCGTGGGTCCCAGGGGACCCTGGGCGTCCGCGATTTACACCCATGGGTGCCTCATCCCACGGGGGCCAGCCCAAGGCGGCAGGAAGTCTTGAAAGGGGAGGTTGAGGTACCTGTGTTGTGGAAGAAAAACAAAAAGGGCGAGGAAGAGGTCCCCCACAACGGGCGAAAGTGCCTCCACACCAGGCTTGAGTGGGGCCTGAGAACCCTGGGGGGTCCCTGTTTCATGCCCACAGAGCACCTTAGGCCCACGGTGGCCAGCCCAAGGCCGCAGGAAGGCTTGAAAGAGGAAGTTGAGGCACATGTGTTGTGGAAGGAAAACACAAACGGCGAGGCAGAAGTCCCCCCCACGGGTGAACGTCCCTCCCCACTGCACATGCTCAGGTCCCAGAGGACCCTGAGCATCCCTAGCTCCTGCTCACAGAGCACCTCTGCCCACGGGGGCCAGCCCAAGGCGGCAGGAAAGCTTAAAAGTAGAGGTCGAGGCATGTGCTATGTGGAAGGAAAACACGAACGGTGAGGCAGAAGTCCACCCCACGAGAGAAAGTGTCTCCCCACCATGCATGCATGGAGCCTAGGGGACCCTGGGTGTCCCTGCTTCGTGACCATGAGTGCCTTGGCCCACGGGGGCCAGGCGAAGTCGGCAGGAAGGCTTGAAAAGGGAGGTCGAGGCACTTCTGGTGTGGAAGTAAAACACAAAGGTCGAGGCAGAGGTCCCTGCCCACTGGCCAAAGTGCCACCCCACCGTGCATGCACAGGGCCCAGAGGATCCCCCCCTGGGCTTCCCTGATTCATGCCCTTGGAGTGCCTCGGGCCCACGGGCGCCTGGCCAAGGCAGCAGGAAGGCTTGAAAGGGGAGGTTGAGGCAACTTGTTGTGGAAGGAAAAAACAAAAAAGGCGAGGGAAGAGGTTCCCCCCAACGGCGAAATTGCCTCCCAAACTCCATGTGCAGGGCCCAGGGAATCCTGGGCGTCCATGGTTCATGTCCGTGGAGTGCCTTGGGCCCACAGGGGCCAGCCTAAGGTGGTGGGAAAGCTTGAAAGGGGAGGTCGAGGTCCCTGTGTTGTGGAAGGAAAACACAAATGGCACGGCAGAGTTCCCCCACCCCATGAGCGAAAGTGTCTCCCCATCACACAAGCGTGGGACCCAAGGGACCCTGGGTGTCCCTAGTTCATGTCCACGGAGAGTCTTGGCCCCACGGAGGCCAGCCTAATGCGGCAGGAAGGCTTGAAATGGGAGGTCGAGGCACCTGTTTTGTGGAAGGAAAATAAGTTGCGAGGCAGAGGTCCCACCCCACGGGAGAAAGTGCCTCTCCGCCGCACATGCCAGGGGCCCAGAGGGCCCTGATCATCCCTGGTTCCTGCCCACAGAGCATCTTGGCCCATGGGTGCCAACCCAAGGCTGCAGGAAGGCTTGAAAGGGGAGATCGAGGCATCTGTGTTGTGGAAGGAAAACACAAACGAGTCAGAGGTCCCCCACCACGGGCAAAAGTGCCTCTCGACCGCACATGCGTGGGGCCCAGGGCACCCTGAGCATCCATGGCTCGAGACCACAGAGTGCCTCGGTCCCATGGGGGCCAGCCCAAGACCGAAGGAAGTCTTGAAATGGGAGGTCGAAGCACCTGTGTTGTGGAAGGAAAATACAAATGGCATGGCAGAGATCCCCTCCCGTGGGTGAAAGTGCCACCCCATCGTGCATAGGTGGGACCCAGGGGACCCAGGCATCCCTGCTTCATGCCCACAGAGCCCCTGGGACCCAAGCGGGCCATCCCAAGGTGGCAAAAAAGCTTGAAAGGGGAGGTTGAGGCACCTGTGCTGTGGAAGGAAAACACAAACGACAACAGAGGTCCCAACCCGCGGGGGAAAGTACCTCCCCACTGCAAATTCTTGGTGCCCAGGGGACCCCAGACATCCCTGGTTCATGCTCACATAGCGCCTCAGGCCCACAAGAGCCAGCCCAAGGCGGCAGGAAAGCTTGAATTGGGAGGTCGAGGCACCTGTGTTGTGGAAGGAAAATACAAACGACGTGGCAGAGTCCCCCCCAATGGGAAACAGTGATTCCCCACTCACAGGCGTGGGACCCAGGGGTCCCTGCGCATCCCTGGTTCATGCCCTTGGAGGGCCTTGCGCCCACAGGGGCCAGTCCAAGATGGCAGGAAATCTTGAAAGGAGGTAGAGGCACCTGTGTTCTGGAAGGAAAACACAAACGGCGAGGCAGAGGTCCCCTCCCCACGGATGAAAGTGCCTTCCCAGCATGCATGCCTGGGACCCAAAGGACCCTGAGCATCTCCCGTTCCTGCCTGTGGAGCACCTTGGCCCACGAGGGCCAGGTAAAGTGGCAGGAAGGCTTGAAAGAAGATCGAGGCACCTGTGGTGTGGAAGAAAACCAGAAATGGTGAGGCAGAAGTCCCCCCATGGGCGAAAGTGCCCCACTACCACAAATGCGCAGGTCCCAGGGGATGCTGGGCATCCCTGGTTCATGCCCACGAAGCGCTTTGGCCCACAGGGGCCAGCCCAAGGCGACAGGAAGGCTTGAAAGGCAAAGTCGAGGCACTTCTGATGTGGAAGGAAAACACGAAGGGTGCGGCAGAGTTCACCCCCATGGACCAAAGTGTCCCCCCTCGTGCATGCGTGAGGCCCAGGGAACTCTGGGCATCCCTAGTTCACACCCACGGAGGTCCTCCGGCCCATGGAGGCCAGCCCAAGGTGGCAGGAAGGCCTGAAAGGGGAGGTCGAAGCACCTGTGTTGTCGGGGGAAAAAAGAAACGTCACAGCAGAGGTCCTCCAACACGGGCAATAGTGCCTCCCCACCGTGCATGCGAGGGGCCCAGGAGACCCTGGGTGTCCCTGGATAGTGGTCACAGAGTGCCTCGGGCCTATGGGGGCCAGCCCAAGGCAGCAGAAAGGCTTGAAATGAGAGGTTGAAGCAACTGCGTTGTGGAAGGAAAACACAAACGGTGAGGCAGAGGTACCCCTGCAATGGGCGATAGTGCCTCTGCACTGCACATGCACGGGGCCCAGGGGACCCTGGGTGTCCCTGGTTCAAGCCCAGGGAGTGCCTTGGTCCATAGTGGCCAGCCCAAGGCGGCAGGAAAGCTTGAAAGGGGAGATCCAGGCACTGTGTTGTGGAAGGAAAACACAAACGGTGAGGCAGAGTTCCCCCAACATGGGCGAAAGTGCCTCCCCACCAGCATGCGTAGGGTCCAGGGGAGGCTAGGTGTCCTTGTTTCACACCAACAGAGTGCCTTGGTCCCATGCGGGCCAGCCCAAGGCGGCAGGAAGGCTTGAAAAGGGAGGTAGGGGCACCTGTGTTGTGGAAGGAAACAAACGGGGAGGCAGAGGTCCCCCCACCCACGGGCGAAAGTGCCTCCCCAGCACACATGCATGGGGCCCAGGGGACCCTGGGCTTCCCTGGTTCATGCTGCGGAGCACCTCAGCCCCATGGGGGCTTGCCCAAGGCGGCAAGAAGCCTTGAAATGTAGGTGGAAGCACCTGTGTTGTGGAAGGAAAACACAAAAGGCGTGGCAGAGGTTTCCCCCCAACGTTTGAAAGTGCCTCTCCACCGCACATGTGCAGGGCCCTGGGGAACCTGGGCATCCCTGGTTCTCACTCACTAAGGGTCTCAGCCCATGGGGGCCAGCCCAAGGTGGCAGGAAGGTCGAGGCACCTGTGTTGTGGACGGAAAACACAAACGGCCAGGCAGTGGTCCCACCCCACAGGCGAAAGTGCCACCCCAACGCACAAGCATGGGGCCCAGGGGACCCTGGGTGTCCCTGGTTTATGCCCACAGAGTGCCTCGCTGCCACCGGGACCAGCCCAAGGCAGCAGGAAGGCCTGAAATGGGAGGTCGAGGCACCTGTGTTGTGGAAGAAAACACAAATGGTGCAGCAGAGATCCCCCACCACGTGCAAAAGTGCCTCCTGACCAGGCATGCATGGGGCCCAGGGGACCCTGGGTGTCCCTGATTTCGAGGCACTTGTGTTGTGGAAGGAAAACACAAAAGGTGAGGCAGAGGTCCGCCCCCACAGGTGAAAGTGCCTCCCCAACACCCATGCTTGGGACCCAGGGTACCCTGGGCATCCCTGGTTCATGCCTATGGAGCGGTTCGGCCTATGGGGCCAGCCCAAGGCAGCAGGGAGGCTTGAAAAGGGAGGTCGAGGCACCTGTGTTGTGGAAAGAAAACACAAAAGGCGAAGCAGAGGTCCGCCCCCACAGGTGAAAGTGCCTCCCCAACATCCATGCTTGCCGCCCAGGGTACACTGGGCATCCCTGGTTCGTGCCCATGGAGCACTTCAGCCCACGTGGTCAGCCCAAGGCGGCAGGAAGTCTTCAAAGGGGAGGTCGAGGCACCTGTCTTTTGGAAAGTAAACACAAACCACGGGGCAGATGTCCAGCCCCAGGAGCGAAAGAGCCTCCCCAATGCACATGCACAGGGCCCAGGGGACCTGGGCATCACTGATTTGTGCACACAGGGCACATCGTGCCCACTGAGGCCAGCCCAAGGCGGCAGGAATGCTTGAAAGGTGAGGTCGAGGCACCTGTGTTGTGGAAGGAAAAGAGAAATGGCGCAGCAGAGGCCCCCTGCCAGCGGGCGAAAGTGTCTGCCCACCACAGAGGCATGGGGCCCAGGAAAAACTGGCCATACCTGGTTCATGCCCACGGAGTGCCTGGATCCCATGGGGGACAGCACAAGTTGGCAGGAAGGCTTGAAATGGGAGGTCGAGGCACCTGTGGTGTGGAAGGAAAACAAAAACGGCTCGGCGGAGGACCTCCCACGGGCGAAAATGCCTCCCCACTGGGCATGCACGGGGCCCAGGGGACATTGGGCATCACTGATTCGTGACCATGGAGCTCCTCGGGTCCACGGGGGCCAGCCCAAGGCGGCAGAAATGCTTGAATGGGGAGGTTGAGGCCCCTGTGTTGTGGAAGGAAAACACAAACGGCGAGGCAGAGTTTCCCTTCACGGGTGAAAGTGCCTCCCCACCACTCATGCGCAGCGCCCAGGGGACCCTGGGCTTCCTATTTTGCACCCACGGAGTGCCTCAGGCCCATGGGGGCCGGACCAAGGCAGCAGGAAGGATTGAAATGGGAGGTCAAGGCACCTGTGTTGTGGAATGAAAACACAAACGGTGAGGTAGCCGTAGCCCCCAATGGGGGAAATTCCCTCCCCCCACGCATACACGTGGCCCAGGGGACCCTGGGTGTTCCCGGTTGCACCCACGGAGGGCCTCGGGACCACGGGGACCAGCCCAAGGTGGCAGGAAGGCTTGAAAGGAGAGGTTGAGTCACCTGAGGTTTGGAAGGAAAACACAAACGGTGCGGCAGAGCTCCCCAATGGGCGAATGTGGCCCCCACCGGGCACGCGTGAGGTGCAGGGGACCTTGCACATCCCTGTTTCGAGCCCAAGGGGTCCTTCAGGCCCACAGGGGCTAGCCCAAGGATGTACAAAGGCTTGAATGGGGAGGTCGAGCCATCTGTGTTGTGCAAGGAAAACACAAACGGCACGGCAGCGGACCCCACCCACAGCGTGAAAGTGCCTCCCCATCGCGCATGCATGGGGCCGAGGGGACCCTGGGCAATGCTGGTTCATGCCCAGGGAGTGCCTCGGGCCCACAGGGGCCAGCCCAAGGCGGCAGGAAGGCTTGAAAGCGGAGGTCGAGGACCCTGTGTTGTGCAAGGAAAACATAAACGGCGAGGCAGAGGTCCCCTTCCACAGGCGATAGTGCCTCACCACGGTGCATGTTCACAGCCCAGGGGACCCTAGGCACCCCTGATGCACGCCCACAGAGTGCCTCGACCCACCGTGGCCAACCCAAGGCGGCAGGAAGGCTTGAAAGGGGAGGTCCAGTCATCTGTGTTGTGGAAGGAAAACAAATGGAGAGGCAAACGTCCCCCAGCACAGTGAAAGTGCCTCCCCACTGTGCATGCACAGGGCCCAGGGTAAGCTGGCATCCCTGGTTAGCGCCCGTGGAGTGCCTGTGGCCCATGAGCATGAGCCCAATGCGGCAGGAAGGCTTGAAAGTGGAGGTCGAGGCACCTGTGTTGTGGAAGGAAAACAAACGGCGAGGCAGAGGTCCCCCCAACGGGGCGAAAGTGCCTCCCTACCGCGCATTCACAGGGCCCAGGGGACCGTGGGCATCCCTGCTTCATGCCCACAGAGTGCCTAGGGCCCAAGTTGACCAGCCCAAGGTGGCAGGAAGTCTTGAAAGGGGAGGTAGAGACACCAGAGGTGTGGACGGAAAACAAACAGTGCATCAGAGGTCCCCTGCAACGGACGAAAGTGCCTACCCACTGGGCATGCGCAGGGTCCAGTGGACCCTGGGCATCCTTGTTTTGCACCAACAGAGCACCTTGGCCCATGGGGGCCAGCCCAAGGTGGCACAAAAGCTTGAAAGGACAGGTCAAGGCACCTGTGTTGTGGAAGGAAAACACAAATGGCGCAGCAGAGGTCCCCTACCCGAGCTGAAGTGCCTCCCCACCGCACATGCGCAGGGCTCAGGGGACCCTGGGCAGCACTGGTTCATGCCCTGGGAGCACCTTGGGCCCACAGGGACCAGCCCAAGGCAGCAAGAAGGCTTGAATGGGGAGGTCGAGAAACCTGTGTTGTTGAAGGAACACACAAACGGCAAGGCAGAGGTCCCCACCCATGGGCAAAAGTGCCTACCCACCGCACATGTGCAGGGCCCAAGGGACCCTGAGCATCCCTGGTTCGTGCCCATGGAGCACCTTGGGCCCATGAGGGCCAGCCAACCCTGGGTTTCACTGGTTCACACTTACAGAGTGCCTTGATACCACAGGGGCCAGCCCAAGGCAGCAGGAGGGCTTGAAAGGGGTGGTTGAGGCACCTGTGTTGTGGAGGGAAAAAAGAAATGGCACGGCAGAGGTCCTGCCCACGGGCGAATGTGCCTCCCCACCGCACATGCATGGGGCCCAGTGGACCCTGGGCATCCCTGGATTATGCCCACAGAGCACATCGGCCCATGGGCCAAATCAAGGCGGCAGGAAGGCTTGAAAGAGATCGTCGAGGCACCTGTGTTGTGGAAGGAAAACACAAACAGCGAGGCAGATGTCCCCTCTCACAGGCGATAGTGCCTCCCCACCATGCATTTTCTGGGCCCAGGGGGCCCTGGGTATCCCTGCTTCATGCACACGTAGCACCTCGGGACCACTGGGGTCAGCCAAAAGCAGCAGGAAGGCTTGAATGGGGAGGTCGAGGCACCAGTGTTGTAAAGGAAAACACAAAAGGCAAGGTAGAGGTTCCCCCGATAGGTGAAAGTGCCTCCCCACTGTGCATGCACAGGACCCAGGGGACCCTAGGCATCTCTGGTTTATGCCCACGGAGTGTCTGGGGCCCATGGCGACCAGCCCGGGGCAGCAGGAAGGCTTGAAAGGGGAGGTCGAGACACCAGAGGTGTGGACGGAAAACACAAACGGCGCAGCAGAGGTCACCTCCACGAGCAAAAGTGCCTCCCCACTGGGCAGGCGCGGGGCCCAGCGGACCCGGGGCATCCCAGTTTTGTGCCAATGGAGTGCCTCAGCCCTTGGGGGCCAGCCCATGGCGTCAGGAAGAGTTGAAAGGGGAGGGCCAGGCACCTGTGTTGTGGAAGGAAAACACAAACGGTGAGGCAGAAGTCTGCCGCCCACGGGCAAAAGTGCCTCCCCACTGCTCATGCGTGTGGCCCAGTGGACACAGGGCATCCCTGGTTCACATCCACAGAGCACCTCAGGCCCACGGGGGCCAGCCGAAGGCAGCAGGAAGGCTTGAAAGGGGAGGTCGAGGCACCCGTGTTGTGGAAGGAAAACAGAAACGGTGTGACACGGGCCCTCCCAAGGGCAAAAGTGCCTCCACACCACGCATGTGCAGGGCCCAGACCACCCTGAGCATCTTTAGTTCACACCCACGGAGTGCCTCAGCACACAGGGGCCAGCCCAAGGGGGCAGGAAGTCTTCAAAGGGGAAGTCGAGGCACCTGTGTGTGGAAGGAAAACACAAATGGTGAGGCAGACGTCCCATGCCACGGGTGAAAGTTCCTCCCCACCGCCCATGCGTGGGGCCCAGGGGACCCCAGGTGTCCCTGTTTCAAGCCCATGGAGCGCCTCGGGCCCAAGGGGGCCAGCCCAAGGCGGCAGGAAGGCTTGCAATGGGAGGTCAAGGCACCGGTGGTGTGGAAGGAAAACACAAACGGCGCGACCGAGGTCCCCTACCCCCCCACGGGCGAAATTGCTTCCCCACTGCCCTCGCATGAGGCGCATGGGACCCTGGGCATCCCTGGTTCTCGTCTATGGGGCACTTTGGCCCACAGGGGCCAGCCCAAGGCGGCAGGAAGACTTGAAAGAGGAGGTCAAGGCTTCTGTGTGTGGAAGGAAAACAAAAGGTGGGGCAGAGGTCTCTCCCACGGGCAAAAGTGCCACCCCATCGCGCATGCGAGGGGGCTAAGGGACCCTGGGCATCCCTGGTTTGTGCCTACGGAGCGCCACGGGCCCACATGGGCCAGCCCAAGGCGGCAGGAAGTCTTGAAAGGGGAGTCCGAGGCACCTATGTTGTGGAAGGAGAACACAAACGGTGCGGCAGAGGTTCCCCGCACAGGCGAAAGTACCACCCCACCACGAATACGCACGGCCCAGGAGACCCTGAGCATCCTCCTTCACACCCTCAGAGAGCCTCGGCCCACAGGTGCCAGCCCAAGGCGGCAGGAAGACTTGAAAGGGGAGGTCGAGGCACCTGTGGTGTGGAAGTAAAGCAGAAACGTCGCGGCAGAGGTGTCTCCTCCACGGATGAAAGAGCCTCCCCACCGCGCATGCGTGGGGCCCAAGGGATCCTGGGCATCCTTGATTCACAGCCACAGAGGGCCTTGGGCCACAGGTGCCAGCTCAAGGTAGCAGGAAGGCTTGAAATGGGAGGTCGAGGCACCTGTGGTATGGAAGGAAAACACAAACGGTGAGGCAGAGGTGCCAACCACGGGCGAAAGTACCGCCCCACCATGCATCCGCAGGGCCCAGGGGACCCTCGGCATCCCTGGTTCGTGGCCGTGGAGCGCCTTGGCTCACGGGGGCCAGCCCAAGGCAGCAGGAAGACTTGAAAGGAGAGGTCAAGGCACCTGAGGTGTGGAAACAAAGCAGAAATGTCACGGCAGAGGTCCCCCCTCCGTGGATGAAAGAGCCTCCCCACCATGCATGCATGGGTCCTAAGGGAACCTGGGCATCCTTGGTTCACGGCCACGGAGGGGCCCACGGGGTCCAGCTCAAAGTAGCAGGAAGGCTTGAAAGGGCAAGCTGAGGCACCTGTGGTGTGGAAGGAAAACACAAACGGCCAGGCAGAGGCGTCAACCACGGGCGAAAGTACCTCCCCCCATGCATCTGCAGGGCCTAGGGGACCCTTGGCATCCCTGGTTCATGGCCTTGGAGCGCCTCAGTCCATGGAGGCCAGCCTAAGGCGGCAGGAAGGCTTGAAAGGGGAGGTCGAGGCACCTGTGTTGTGGACGGGAAACACAAATGGCGTGGCGGAGGTCTTCACGCCCATGGAGCACCTAGTCCCACGGGGCCAAGCCAAGGTGGGAGGAAAGCTTGAAAGGGGAGGCTGAGGCACATGTGTTGTGGAAGGAAAACACAAACGGCAAGGCAGAGGTTCCCCACGGGTGAAAGTGCCTCCCCACCGCGCATTCAGGGGGCTTTGGGGACCCTGGGCATCCCTGAATCAAGCCCACGGAGTGGTTCAGGCCCACAGGGGCCAGCCCAAGATGGCAGGAAGGCTTGAATTTGGAGGTCGAAGCACCTGTGGTTTGGAATGAAAACACAAATTGTGCAGCAGAGATCCCCCCCACGGGGGAAAGTGCCTCCCCACGGTGCATGTGTGGGGCCGAGGTGACCCTGGTCATCCCTGGTTCACACCCTCGGAGTGCCTCGGCTCACGGGGGCCAGCCCAAGGCGGCAGGAAGTCTTGAAAAGGGAGTCGAGGCACCAGCAGTGTGGAACGAAAACACAAGAGGCGCGCTAGAGGTGACCCCCACGGGCGAAAGTGCCAACCCACCGTGCATGCAGGGCCCTAGGAGACCCTGGTCTTCCCTGTTTCATGGCCAAGGAGTTAATCAGCCCACGGGGGCCAGCCCAGGAGGCAGGAAGGCTTGAAATAGGAGATTGAGCCACCTGTGTTGTGGAAGTAAAACACAAATGATGAGGTGCAGGTCCACCCCCACGGGTGAAAGTGAATCCCCACCGTGCATGCACAGGGTCCAGTGGAACCTGTGCATCCCTGGTTCACACCTGTGGAGCACCCCAGGCCCACTGGGGCCAGCCCAGGGTGGCAGGAGTTCTTGGAAGGGGATATCGAGTCACCTCTGTTGTGGAAGGAAAACACAAATAGCGAAGCAGAGGTCCACGTCCATGGGCGAAAGTGCCTCCCCACCACAAATATGCATGGCTCTGGGAACATGGCATTCCTGGCTCACACCCACAAAGGGACTCGGGCCCACGGGGGCCAGCCCGAAGTGGCAGGAAGTCTTGAAAGGGGAGGTCGAGGCACCTGTGGTGTGAAATGAAAACAGAAATGGCACTGCAGAGGACCCCCCCACGGGCGAAAGTGTCTCCCAACCGCACAAACGTGGGGTCCCAGGCGACCCTGGGCTTCCCTTTAATGCACACATGGAGCACTTCAGGCCCACGTATGCCAGCCCATGGCACCAGGAAGGCTTGAAAGGGGAAGTCGAGTCACCTGTGGTGTGGAAGGAAAACACAAAGGCGAGACAAAGGTTTCCCTAATGGGCGAAAGTGCCTCTGCACTGCCCATGTGTGTGGCCCAGGGGAACCTGGGCATCCCTGTTTCATGCCCCCAGAGTGCCTCAGGCCCACAGATGTCAGCCCAAGTGGCAGGATGGCTTGAAAGGGGAGGTCAAGGCACCTGTGGTGTGGAAGGAAAACATAAACGGTGAGGCAGAAGTCCCCCCACAAGGGCCAAAGTGCCTTCTGACTGTACATGCATGGGGCCCTGGGGACTCTGGGCATCCCTGATTCATGGCCATGGAGGGCCTCAGGCCGACAGGGGCCAGCCCAAGGTGGCAGGAAGGCTTGAAAGGGGAGGTCGAGACACCTGTGTTGTGGGGGAAAACACAAATGGTGAGGCAGAGGTCCCACCCCACAGGCAAAAGTGCCCCCCAACACACATGCGCAGGGCCTAGAGGACTGTGGGTATTCCAGGTTAGCCCATACGAAGCGCCTTGGCATACGGGGCCCAGCCCAAGGCAGACAGAAGGTTTGAAAGGGAGGTCGAGGCACCTGCAGAGTGGAAGGAAAACAAACTGCGTGGCAGAGGTCCCCCACTATGGGTGAAAGTGCCTTCCCACTGCACATGCACAAGGCCCAGGAAACCCTGGGTGTCCCTGGTTGGCACCCAAGGAGCACCTCGGCCCACGAGGTCCAGCCCAAGGTGACAGGAAGGCTTAAAAGCTGAGGTCGAGGCATCTGTGTTGTGGAAGGAAAACACAAATGGCGAGGCCAAGCTCCCCACTAAAGGGCTGCAGTGTCTCTCCACCGCTCATGCGCAGGGCCCCAGGGACGCTGAGTGTCCCTGGATTGTGCCCACAGAGTGCCTCACTCCCATGGACGCTAGCCCAAGGCTGCAGGAAGGCTTGAAAGGGGAGGTCGAGGCACCTGTGACCCAGAAGGAAAACAAATGGCGAGGCAGAGGTCCACCACTGATGGGTGAAAGTGCCTTCCCACTGCACATACCTGGGGCCCAGGGGACCCAGGGCATCCCTGGTTCATGCCCATGGAGAGCCTCGGCCCACGGGGGCCAGCCCAAGGCAGCAGGAAGACGTGAAATGGGAGTTTGAGGCACCTGTGTTGTGGAAGGAAAACACAAATGGCGAGGCAGAGGTTCCCACCCAGGGGCCAAAGTGCCGCCCCACCACACATCGCTGAGCCCAGTGGACCCTGGGCATCCCTGATTTGCACACACAGAGCACCCCGGGCCCATGGAGGCCAGCCCAAGGTAGCAGGAAGGCTTGAAAGTGGAGGTCGAGGCACCTGTGTTGTGGAAGGAAAACACAAACGGCGAGGCAGAGGTCCCCCCTCACAGGCGAAAGTGTCTCCCCTCTGTGCATGCATGGGGCCCATGGGACCCTGGGCAGCCCTGGTTCATGTCCATGGAGTGCCTTGGGCCCAACGGGGCCAGCCCAAGGTGGCAGGAATTCTTGAAAAGGGAGGTCGAAGCACCTGTGATGTGGAAGAACACAAGCGGCGAGGCAGAGGTCCCCCCACACGAGCAAAAGTGCCTCCCCAGCATGCATGAGTGGGGCCCAGGGGACTAGGAGTGTCCTTGGTTCACACCTGTGGAGGGTCTCGGCCCATGAGGCCAGCCCAAGGCAGCAGGAAAATTTGGAAAGGGAGGTCAAGGCAACTGTGTTGTGGAAGGAAAACAAACGGTGAGGCAGAGGTCCCCCCTCAGGGGAGAAAGTGCCTCTCTGCCGTGCATGTGTGTGTGGGGCCCATGGGCCCCTGGGCATCCCTGGTTCATGCCCATGGAGTGCCTTGGGCCCAAGGGGCCAGCCAAAGGCGGCAGGAATTCTTGAAATGGGAGGTCAAAGAACCTGTGTTGTGGAAGGAAAACACAAACAGCGAGGTAGAGTTCCACCCCCAAGGGCGAAAGTGCCTCTTCACTGCACATGCGGGGGGCCCAGGTGACCCTTGGCATATTTGGTTCATGCCCACAGAGCATCTTGGCCCATGGGGCCAGCCTAAGGGGGCAGGAAAGTTTGGAAAGAGAGGCCGAGGAACCTGTGTTGTTGAAGGAAAACACAAATGGCGAGGCCGAGGTACCCCCTCACAGGCGAAAGTGCCTCCCCACTGTGTATGCATGGGGCCCACAGGACCCTGGGCATCCCTGATTCATGCCCACAGAGCATCTTGGGCCCAAGCGGGCCAGTCTGAGGTGGAAGGAAGGCTTGCAAGGGGAGGTTGAGGCACCTGTATTGTGGAAGGAAAACACAAACGATGAGGCAGAGGTCCCACACCACGGGTGAAATTGCCTCCCCGCTGCACATGCATGGGACCCAGGGGACCCTGCGTGTCCCTGGTTCGTGCCCACAGAGCATCTCGGGTGCATGCAGTCCAGCCCAAGGTGGCAGGAAGGCTTGAAACGGGAGGTTGAGCCACCTTGTATGTGCAAGGCCCAGGGGACCCTAGCCATCACTGGTTCATGCCCCCAGAGCTCCTGGGGCCCATGGGTGCCAGCTCAATGCTCAGGAATTCTTGGAAGGGGAGGTCAAAGCACCGGTGTTGTGGAAGGAAAACACAAATGGCGATTCAGAGGTCCCCCCTCCAAGGGCGAAAGTGCCTCCCCACCGCACGTGCCTGGGGCCCAGGGGACAATGGGCATTCCTGATTCATGCACATGGAGTGCCTCGCACCCACGGAGGCCAGCCCAAGGTGGGAGGAAAGCTTCAATGGGGAGGTATAGGCACCTGTGGTGTGAGAGGAAAATAAAAGCGGCATGGCAGAGGTCCCACACCACTTGTGAAAATGTCTCCTCACCACCCATGCGTGGGGCCCAGGGGACCATGGGCATCCCTGGTTCATGTCTACGGAGTGTCTTGGCCAATGGGGGCCAGCCCAAACTGGCAGGAAGGCTTGAAAGAGGAGGTGGAGGCATCTGTGTTGTGGAAGGAAAACACAAGCGGTGTGGCAGAGATCTTCGCAGATTCTACAAAAACAGTGCTTCCAAACTGCTGCATCAAAGTAAGGTTTAACTCTGTGAGAATAATGCACACACTACAAAGCAGTTTTTCAGAAATCTTTTGAGTTTTTTTCTGGAGATATTTTCTTTTTCACCAAAGGAGTCAATGCACTCCCAAATATCCCTCTGCAGATATTACAAAAACAGTCTTTCCAAACTGCTGAATCAAATGAAAGCATTAACTATGTGAGTTAAATGCACATTCAAAAAGCAGTTTCTCAGAAAGCTTCTTTCTAGTTTTTATCTGACGATATCTTCTTTTTCACTATACTCCTCAATATGCTCCCTAATATCCCTTCACAGATTCTACAAAAATGTCTTTCCAAACTGCTGAATCAAAAGAAATATTTAAATCTGTGTGATGAATTCACACATCGCAAAGCAGTTTCTGAGAAAAATTCTTTCTAGTTTTTATCTGAAGATATTTACGTTTTCACCATAGGCCTCAATGCGCTCCCA
Source organism: Homo sapiens (assembly GCF_000001405.40). Classification (NCBI taxonomy): domain Eukaryota; kingdom Metazoa; phylum Chordata; class Mammalia; order Primates; family Hominidae; genus Homo; species Homo sapiens. The sequence goes on from NC_000012.12 coordinate 34,407,882, forward strand.
TATATCCTGTCACAGATTCTACAAAAACAGTGTTTCCAAACTGCTGAATCTTAAGAAAGGTTTAACTGAGTTGAATGCACATATCACAAAGCAGTTTCTCAGAAAGCTTCTTTCTAGTTTTTATCTGAAGACAGTTTCTTTTTCACCATAAGACACAATACGCTCCCAAATATCCCTTCGTAGATTTTATATAAACAGTATTTCCTAACTGCTGAATCAAAAGGAACATTTAACTCCGTGAGGTGAATGCACACATCACAAAGCAGTTTCTCAGAAATATTCTATTGGTTTTTATCTGAAGGTATTTTCATTTTCTCCCTAGACCTGAGAGCGCTCTGAAATATCCCTTCACGGATTCTACAAAAACAGTCTTTGCAAACTGCTGAATGAAAACAAACTTTTAATTCTGTGACAGGAATGCACACATCACAAAGCAGTTTCTCAGAAAGCTTCTTTCCAGTTTTTATTTCAAGATATTTTCTTTTTCAACATAGGCCTCAAAGCACTCCCAAATATCCCTTTGCAGATTCTACATGAACAGTGTTTCCAAACTGCTGAATCTAATGAAAAGTTTAACTGAGTTGAATGCACACATCACAAAGCAGTTTCTCAAAAAATTTTCCCTCTAGTTTTCATCTGAAGATGATTTCTTTTTCACTGTAGGCCTCAACGTGCACCAAATATCCCTTCACAGATTATTAAAAAAACAGTCTTTCCGAACTGCTGAATCAAAAGAAAGGTTTAACTCTGTGAGATGAATACACACACCACAAAGCAGTTTCTCAGAAAGCTTCTTTCTAGTTTTTATCTGAAGATATATTCTTTTTCACTGTAATCCTCAATGCACTCCCAAATATCCCTTTGCAGATTCTACAAAATCCTTGCTTCCAAACTGCTGAATAAAAAGAAAGATTTATCTCTGTGAGATGAATCTAGACATCACAAAGCAGTTTTGGAGAATGCTTCTTTTTATTTTTATCTGAAGATATGCTTTAATTCACCATAGGCCTCAATGCGCTCCCAAATATCCATCCGCAGTTTCTAGAAAAACAGTGTTTCCAAACTACCGAATAAAAAGAAACGTTTAACTCAATGAGGTGAATGCATACATGAGAAAGTGTTTTCTCAGATAACATGCTTCTAGTTTTTATCCTGGGATACACATCACAAAGCAGTTTCTCAGAAGCTTTCTTTCTCGTTTTTATCTGAAGATATTTTCTGTTTCACCATAGGCCTCAAGGCATTCAGAAATATCCCTTCACAGATTCTACAAAAACAGTGTCCCCAAACTGCTGAATAAAAAGAAAGGTTGAACTCTGTGAGATGAATGCGTACATCACAAAGCAGGTTCTCAGAGAGCTTCTTTTTCGTTTTTATCTGAAGATATTTTCACTTTCAATATAAGCCTCAATGCACTCCCAAATATCCCTTTGCAGATTCTACAAAAACAGTTTTTCCAAACTGCTCAATAAAAAGAAAGGCTGAACTCTATGAGATGAATGCATACATCACAAAGCAGTTTCTCAGAAAGCTTCTTTCTCATTTTTATCTGAAGCTATTTTCTTTTTCAACGTAGGCCTCAATGTGCTCCAAAACATTCCTTGTCAGATTCTACAAAATCAGTGTTTCAAACTGCTGAATAAAATGAATGGTTTAACTTCGTGAGATGAATGCAGACATCACAAATCAGTTTCTCAGAAAGTTTCTTTCTAGTTTTTATATGAAGTTTTTTTTTCACTACAAGCCTCAATGCACTCCCAAATATCCCTATGCAGATTTTACAAAAACAGTGTTTCCAAACTCCTGAATCAAAAGATAGATTTAACCCTCTGAGAAAAATGCACAGATCACAAATTCATTTCTCAGAAACATTCTTTCTGGTATTTATCTGAAGATACTTTCTTTTTCACCATAAGTCTCAATTGGCTCAGAATGTCCTTTCACAGATTCTACAAAAACCGTGTTTTCAAACTGCTGAACCAAAAGAAAAGTTAAACTCTATGAGATGAAAACACACTTTCCAAAGCACTTTCTCAGAAAGGTTCTTTCTCCGTCTTATATGAAGATATTTTCTTTTTCACCATTGGCTTCATTGAGCTCCTAAATATCCCTTTGAAGATTCTACAAAAATAGAGTTTCAAAACTGCTGAAAAAAAGAAAGGTTTAACTCTGTGAGATGATAGCACAATTAAAAAGCAGTTTCTCAGAAAGCTTCTTTTTCATTTTTATCTGAAGATATTACCTTTTTCACCCTAGGCCTCAATGCGTTGCCAAATATCCCTTCACAGATTCCACAAAAACAATGTTTCCAAACAGCTGCATCAAAAGAAAGGTTTAAGTCTGTGAGATGAATGCACATATTTCCAAGGAATTTTCTCAGAAAGCTTCTTTCTAGTTTTTATCTGAAGCTATTTTCTTTCTCACCATAAATCTCAAAGCTCTCCCAAATATCCTTTCACAGATTCTACCAAAAGAATGTTTCCAAATTGCTGAATCAAAAGAAAGGTTTAACTCAGTGAGATGAAGGCACACACCACAAAGCCCTTTCTCAGAAAGCTTCTTTCCAGTTTTTATCTGAAGATATTTTCTTTTTCACCATATTCTTCAAAGCTCTCCCAAATATCCCTCTGTATATTGTACAAAAACCATGTTTCCAAAGTGCTGAATAAAAAGAAAGGTTTAACTCTGTGAGATGAATGCACACATCAAAAGGCAGTTTCTCAGAATTATTCTTTCTCATATTTATCTGAAGATGATTTCTTTTTCACCATAAGCCTCACTGTGAACCAAAATGTCCCTTTGCAGATTCTACAACAGCAATGTTTCCAAACTGCTGAACCAAAAGTAAGGATTAACTCTGTGAGATGAATGCACACATTACAAAGCAGTTTCTCATAAAGCTTCTTTCTAGTTTTTATCTGAAGATATTTCGTTTTCACCTTAGGCCTTAATTCCCTTTAAAATACCCCTTCACAGATTCTACAAAAACAGTGTTTCCAAAACTGCTGAATAAAAGAAAGCTTTAACTCTGTGAGATGAATGGACACATTGCAAAGCAGTCTTTCAAAAGCTTCTTTCTAGTTTTTACCTAATGATAATTTCTTTTTCACCATAGGCCACAAAGCACTCCACAATATCCCTTCACAGATCCTACAAAAACAGTCTTTCCAAACTGCCAAATCAAAAGAACGATTTAACACTGTAAGATGAATGCACACATCACAAAGCATTTTCTCAGAAAGCTTCTTTCTAGTTTTTATCTGCAGATATTTTCTTTTTCAACATAAGTCTCAATGCTCTCCCATATATCCTTTTGAAGTTTCTACAAAAATAGTCTTTCCAAACCACTGAATGAAAACAAACTTTTAAGTCTGTGAGATGAATGTACACATCACAAAGCAGTTTTTCAGAAAGTTTCTTTCCAGTTTTGATCTGAAGATATTTCCTTTTTCACAATAGGTTTCAAAGTGCTCCCAAATATCCCTTCTCCGATTCTACCAAAACCGTGTTTCCAAACTGCAGAATCAAAAGAAAGGTTTAACTCTGTGAGGTGAATGCACACATCACAAAGCAGTTTCTGAGAAATCTTCTTTCTAATTTTTATCTAAAGATATTTTCTTTTTCAAAATGGGCCTCAATGTGCTCCCAAATATCCCTCTGCTGTTTCTATGAAAACAGTGTTTCCAAACTGTTGAATCAAAAGAAATATTTAACTCTGTGAGATGAATGCAACACATCAGAAAGGAATTTCTCAGAAAGCTTCTTTCCAGCTTTTATCTGAAGATAATTTATTTTACACCATAGGCCTTAACGTGCACCCAAATATCCCTTCACAGATTATTAAAAAACAGTCTTTCCAAACTGCTGAATCAAAAGAAAGGTTTATCTCTGTGAGATGAATACACACATCATAAAGCAGTTTTTCAGAATCTTCTTTCTAGTTTTTATCTGAAGATATATTCTTTTTCACCATAATCCTAGAGGCACGCCCAAATATCCCTTCACAGATTCTACAAAAATTGTTTCCAAACTGCTGAGTAAAAAAAGGTTTAACTCTGTGAGATGAATGCACACATCACAAAGCAGTTTCTCAGAAATCTTCTTTCTAGTTTTTGTCTGAAGATATTTCCTGTTTCACCATAGACCTCAATGCACTCCAAAATATCCCTCGTATTTCTACAATCACTGTGTTTACAAACTGCTAAATGGAAAGAAACCTTTAACTCTGTGTGATGAATGCATATATCACAAAGCGGTTTCTTAGAAAACATCTTTCTCGTTTTTATCTGAAGATATTTTCTTTGTCAACACAGGCCTCAATGCACTCCAAAATATCCCTTCTCGGATTTTACAAAACCAGTGTTTCAAACTGCTGAATAAAAAGAAAGGTTTAACTCCGTGATATGAAGTCAGATATCACAAAGCAGTTTCTCAGAAAGCTTCCTTCTAATTTTAATATGATGATATTTTCTTTGTCTCTACAAGCCTCAATGTGCTCCCAAATATCCCTATGCAGATTCTACAAAAGCAGTGTTTCCAAGCTCCTGAATCAAAAGAAAAATTTAACCCTGTGAGACAAATGTGCAGCTCACAAAGTAGTTTCTCAGAAAGATTCTTTCTAGGATTTATCTGAATACATTTTCTTTTTCACCATAATTCTCAATGGGCTCAGAGTGTCCCCTCACAGATTCTACAAAAACCGTGTTTCAGAACTGCTGAACCAAAAGAAACGTTTAACTCTGGGAGATGAATGCACACTTCACAAATCAGTTTCTCAGATTCTTTCTCCTTTTTATATGAAGATATTTTCTTTTTCAACTTAGGCCTCAATTCTCTCCCAAATATCCCTTCACAGATTCTACAGAAACAGTATTTCCAATGTGCTGAAGCAAAAGAAAGGTTTAACTTTGACAGATGAATGCATACATCACAAAGCTGTTTCTGGGAAAGCTTCTTTCTAGTTTTATTTGAAGACATTTTCTTTTTCACCATTGGCCTCAATGTGCTCCTAAATATCCCTTCGCAGATTCTACAAAAACAGAGTTTCTAAACTGTTGAAAAAAAGGAAATGTTTAACTCTGTGAGGTGAATGCACAACCAACAAGCAGTTTCTCAGAAAGCTTCTTCCTCGTTTTTATCTGAAGATATTTCCTTTTCCACCCTAGGTCTCAATGCCTTGCCAAATATCCCTTCGCAGCTTCCACAAAAATGGTGTTTCCAAACTTCTGCATCAAAAGAAAGGTTTAAGTCTGTGAGAAGAATGCACATATTACAAAGGAGTTTCTAAGAAAGCTCCTTTCTAGTTTTTATCTGAAGCTATTTTCTTTCTCACCATAAGGCTCAAAAGTCTCCCAAATATCCTTTTGCAGATTCTATAAAAAGAGTGTTTCCAAATTGCTGAATCAAAAGAAAGGTTTAACTCACTGAGATGAAGGCCCACATCACAAAGCATTTTCTCAGAAAACTTCTTTAGAATTTTTATCTGAAGACATTTTTCTTTCTCACCATAAGCTTCAATGCTCTCCCAGATATCCCTCTGCAGATTGTTCAAAAACCGTGTTTCCAAATTACTGAATCAAAAGAAAGGTTTAACTCTGTGAGATGAATGCAGACATCACAAAGCAGTTTCTTAGAAAGTTTCTTTCTAGTTTTATCTGAAGATATTTTCGTTTTCAATGTAGGCCTCAATTCACTTACAAATATCCCCCTGCAGTTTCTACAAAAACAGTGTTTCCAAACTGCTGAATAAAAGAATAGTTTAACTCTGTGAGATGATGGCACACATCACAAAGCAGTTTCTCAGAAAGCTTCTTTATAGTTTTTATCTGAAGATATTTTCTTTCTCAAAATAGGCTTCAATGCAATCCAAAATATCCCTCTGCAGTTTCTAAAAAACATTGTTTCAAAACTGCTGAATCAAAAGATAGTTTTAAATATGTGAGATGAATGCACACATGAGAAAGCAGTTTCTCAGAAGCTTCTTTCTCATTTTTATCTGAAGATACTTTCTTTTTTCCATAGGCCTCAATGCACTAATATTCCTTTGCAGATTCTACATAAACAATGTTTCCAAACTGCTGAATAAAAACAAAGATTTAACTCTGAGGTGAATGTACACATCTCAAAGCAGTTTCT